>NC_000011.10:56646286-56949316 GCF_000001405.40 Homo sapiens
ACTGCAGTGCAGTTGTCATATCAATTGCAGTTAATTTCAGTTGTGGAGTCTCTAGAATTGACTCTCAAGTAAGCATCCTAACAAGTAAAACATATTTCTTGTTAGTTGGTCTCCAGGGACTGTGTCTCTCATGTCACCTCATTGTAATCTGCTTATTTTTCCCCTCTGAAATTAAGAAAATCACAGCCCTTTTTCATGTTTCTCTACTTTACCCTTGGGACACCTGGGCCCAGCGGAGAATGAATTTGAGTCCCATATTCCTAACCACCATGAACCATCCTTCTTCTGTCTCCCCTGGTAGCTGGAGGTTTGTCCTTGGGAGAATCAAAAGAATCCACAAAATAGCAGACTAGATCTACCTGCGGCCCCATCTTCTATAAGTGTACATGTTAGCAGTTGGGCTACCTGGATAGTGGTGAGAGAGGTAGAGAAAACAGGAAGTTCTTGGCTTGGAATCCTGACTCCATGTCTTCTGATTGTGTGACTTTGGGCATTTCACTAAATCCTTCTGTGTCTTAGCTTTTTCCTTTCTAATATCTACCTTATAGGGTGACTCCAGAGAGAAAATAATTTAACAAATGTGAATTGCTGCATCCAATACATATAATAATTAATAAATGAGTTTCCCTCACCCTTACATTCTTCCCCACTCTCCAGAGTAAGAAATAGTTATCAGTGGCCAGGCTCAGTGGCTTATGTCTGTAATCCCAACACTTTGGGAGGCCAAGGCTGGTGGATCACCTGAGGTAAGGAGTTCAAGACCAGCCTGGCCAATATGGCAAAACCCTGCCTCTACTAAAAATACAAAATTAGCTTGGCATAGTGGTGTGCATTCATAATCCCAGCTACTTGGGAGGCCGAGGCAGGAAAATCACTTGAACTCGGGAGGCAGAGGTTGCAGTGAGCCGAGATGGTGCCACTGCACTGAAGCCTGAGCAACAGAGTGAGACTGCATCTCAAAAAAAAAAAAAAAAAAAAAAAGGAAATAAATAGTTATCAGCCTATCTAGCCTAGATTGAGACATATGGGATGTCCTATTGTCCAAAAATATCTTCCATATAAAAGACATAGAATCTGAAACAAATTGATCAATATCTAATCATCATTTACATTATTTATGCTACTTTGAGAAGACACTTTAATTAATCCATCTCTCTGTATTATTTAATCAATGCAATTTGCCTGAAATGCTGAGGGACACAAAGACTTTAAAACTGTTTTGTTTTATGTCAAGCAATTCAGACAAGAAATATTTGCATTACCTTGATTAAGTCTTAACCTTCTTGCTTTTTAAATTAATACCTTGGAGGAAAAATGCAGTAGGTTCCTGTCAATTCAGAGTCTCAAACATAACTAGTAAATGAGACGATTTATTCAATAAATAAATAAGTAATCGCAATAAGTGTAAATCAGTTGTTATATGAGAACAATGTGTGATGATTTAAGTGAGATTAAGGTTTGTGCAATTACAGTATGGAAGGAGGTTGGAAGAAAGATCATATGGCATAAGGGGGTCAGTGGTAAGGGACATAGAATATCAAGATTTTAGGTAATAATGGAGTGGTAGAATGAGACTTCTAGGCATAAAGGAGTAATTAGGACCTGGACAGGTTAGGTTGTAGGACCTAATCAGCCCCAGGCTATAAAGAGCTTCAAAACAAGAAGATAACTCAACAAGTGTCATCAAAGAGGCACCAGATGATGGTATATCTCCCTGCCACTACAATGAGAACAAATCAGGAGTCAGGATGAAATGAAATCTCTATGAAGAATTTGAAGAATTCACACTGGTAACAGAATTTTGAGCTCAGTACTGTAAAGAGTGAATCACTGACAGTTAAGTTGCAAAGAACATTTTACAAAGAACCAAGGGACCCCCACAGGCCAATAACCAAGCAACAAGCATTTATCGGGCAACTAATAGAAGAAATGAAGACTAATAAAGATGTGACCTCCACTCCAGAGAGCTTACACATTAACATGTATCATGAATAATGTGAGAACCTGTTCAGTCAGACCTTTCCCTAGTCATAGAAGAAGAGACTGGGCTAAGAGATAATAGCAGCTAACATTTACTGGGCATGTCCTGCTTGCCATGTGCCCCCCTAAACACATGTGTTTTCTGATACATGCATTCCCCATCACAAATAAGTAAGTTGGGCCTTGAAAAGGAACTTGTCTAAATAGTTAATTCAGATCAGAAATGGGATTCAAACAGTTTTTTTCATACTCCAGAATGTGTATTGCTAACCATTATGTGTTTCTGCAGTTCAAAGGCAGCAAAGATTTTGTGAAAAAAAAAAAAATCCTTCTGTTTTAAATATGGATAATGCATAAACCACAATAACGACTAATGGCTTATTTTATGTGCTCTGGGCAATATTGGCAACCTCCGGAGTAGTATCTTGATGACAGTAGTTGCTGAGAGAGTGAATTATAGGTATTAGGAGTGGAAAGGTGGAGTGGCTAAATTTCTAACAGCAAATTTTATCATCCCTTAGTTAAGAATTACTTAATGTCAGATGCCTACAACTTAAAGGCAATCGCAGTGGAGGTGATTTTTTCTTTTGGAGACATTATGGAAATTTTGGGCTGTCATAGTGACAGAGGGATATACTGTAGAATCTAGTGAGTGGGAGGCAAAAATACAAAAAGCCTGCAAGCTATAAGATAGTCCCAAACAACAAAAATTGCCCATTCCCCCTGGAATTTTTAAGTATCCTGATAGTTATAATGCACTTGATACAATTGTCTAAGCCTTTTAGATAGATCTACCTCCATTTTACATGTAAACACATTTTACATATAAATATGAATATTGTTGCATGATTTTTTATGTAACAAACTTGCCATAAATGCATCTATTAAGTAACTCTAGGGGAATAAATGGTTTGGAGCTTTACTAAGAGCTGTTCATCCTTTCAGAAATTTACGTCCTCAGTTGTAAGATAGCAAAACTGCTTGAGGTGCTTATAGGACAAACTTGTACCAGCCTGCATTTTTTAATAGTCACATTTATGGAGATTTCATATACATACAAGCATCTGCCTTTTCATTATGTAGTTATGCCTGACCAGTTAGTAACTAAAATAAGCATTAATTTGTTTACTATCAATTACTTTCCTTTTATTTTTTCTCTTTAAATTATGCATGTAGGGAAATAATAGTTTCTGAGAATGTCATAGCTCTTTCAGGAGCATAGAAGGGTCAAGATAAAATACTTGCTATAAAAAGATGGCATTGGGTCCAAAAGGTTATAGAATCACTGTTACAGAGGAGGTTTACGTGCCAGTCTCCAGCCATTAACACGGTTCCATCCAAATAGATTTTATGTCACCTGGCCAAACCAAGAAGAGGAATTCCCTTCTTAGGCCTTATAAATTTACTTTATCCTAAAGAAAGCTTTTTTAATCTAGTATAAAGTATGGCTATATTCCACTATGCAGCCATAAAAAAGAATGTCCTTTGCAGGGGCATGGATGAAGCTGGTAACCGTCATTCTCAGGAAACTAACACAGAAACAGAAAAACACCGCATGTTCTCACTCATAAGTGGGCGTTGAACAATGAGAATGCACAGACACAGGGAGGGGAATATCACACACCAGGGCCCATTGGGGGTTTGGGGGCAAGGGGAGGGAGAACATTAGCACAAATACCTAATGCGTGCGGGGCTTAAAACCTAGACGACAGGTTGATAGGTGCAGCAAACCAACATGGCACATGTATACCTATGTAACAAACCTGCACGTTCTGTACATGTACCCCAGAACTTAAAGTAAAATCTTAAAAAATGTATGGCTATATTCCAACACACCAAACATTAAATACTACTACTGCTACTGCCACTACTAGTACAAGAGAAAGAGCTTAGTAAATTAGCAAAATGTAAAATTGATCTAATAGCCTTCATATAAGCCAGCAAATCTCCAAT
Organism: Homo sapiens; assembly: GCF_000001405.40. Classification (NCBI taxonomy): domain Eukaryota; kingdom Metazoa; phylum Chordata; class Mammalia; order Primates; family Hominidae; genus Homo; species Homo sapiens. Next base: position 56,650,220 of record NC_000011.10, read on the forward strand.
TAGAACATTTAAATGGAAGAGAAGATTCCCATTTATGATTTTCAAACATAAAATACCTATTAACCAAATGAGAAATATGCAAAAACGTCTGTGAGAAAAACTGTAAAACTCCGGAAAGATACAAAAGTAGACTTGAGCACATATGAAGACATATGTGCTCTTAGATAGCAAGATTGGAGTGCCTAAAGGTGTCAGTTGTCCAAAAGTTAATTCATAAATTTTACATTGTTCCAATACCTTTCCCTAAATATGTTGACTATAAAGTTTATATGGAAGATTTAAAAAAAAATTCTAATATAGCAATGAAAACCCTTTTAAAGGAGAACAAATGGAAATGGGGCTAGACCTAGCTACTGGTATAAAATATATCAGGAAGCTTGTATAATTAAAACCATGTATTATTGATAAATGGTTTGTGTAAATGTAGCAAATAAACAGAAAATAGGAAAAATAAAGATAAAGACCCAATGAAATGAAAGTAAGATTCAATACGTAATAACAGCACCCCAAAACATTGGAGGAAAAGTAAATTTTTAAATAAATGCCATTTAGACAGTTGTATAGTCTTATGGAAAATATAAAATTTGATTTTTTTTCTTTTACCATACACTGTCAAAATGTTAACAAATCAAATTATAAAGACAAAAAATTAAGCCATACAAGTATTAAAATCAACACGATGAATTATTTAATAATTGATGTGAATTTGAATATAAATAGGACTCAAAATCCAGATATGACAAAATTAAAAATTGATAAGTTTGGCAACATGAAGGAAAAAGAAAGGAAGGAAAGAAAAAAAACCTGTTGTATGGTAATAAATATCTTAACCAAAATCAGAAGATAAATGATAAAGTGGAGAAAAGGTATACCTTATACACCAGGCCAAATAAATGTCTCCCATATATAAAGAATACCTAAAAGCTATGAAGAGAAAGATTAATAAAAACATCAAAAAGCCAGAAGAAATGTGCACTGATAAAATTAGACACACAAAAACAGAAATGCAAATAAATGTCCCTTTAATATTTTTAAAAGTTCCATCTTTTTAATGGCCAGGATCCAGTCAGGAGACAGAAAACCACACAGTAATTCTAACAGACAAAATTTAATATAGAGAATTATCACCTGGTAGCAGTAAATTAATTATCGAGTGATTGAGAAAAGTCTCAAGTAAACAGGAAGAATAGATACAGAGCAGCCACTGCCTCTAGAGCTGAAGCAGAACATCCACAGTAGGAAAAAACAAACAAACAAACTAGAAGACCCCCACCCCTCCTTTACGGCTCCTTCTGATGTGGTTGTACTGGGTGTTGCTGTGTCCTGCTACATGGCAGGGGCATTCCTTGGCCAGGCCTAGCAAGCAAGAAAGCACCCAGTAGGGTTAATTTACCATGTCCAGGTGCAGTAGGACCAAAGCGGGGCAAAGATGGGTAAGTTTGGAGTTGAAAGACAGAAAAAGTTATGAGTAGAACAATATTTATTCCTAACAAGAAAAAATACAAATTACAACTAGCTTCTAAGAACATTTTCCACCTTTAAGATCAGCAAAAACAGAGATAGAGGATAGACAGACAGATAGATAGATAAATGAGAGAGAGAGAAAGAGAGAAATGATAGATAGATAGAGGTAAATTTAGATGGGAAATACAAACCTAGACAATAAACTTTACTGGAAAGACCAGGGGAAAGAAGCACACATGCATTGCTTGAGGAGATTTGGCCACATTTAGCAAAACTGCCTATTACATTTCCCTTTCACCCAATAATCCCTCTTCTAAGAAACCAACCTAGTGATATACTGGACAAAGTAGGGAAAAGCATATGCAGTTAGCTATTTATCATTGCATTTTTTCCTAATAGCAAGATTTCGATACCAACTCAAATGTCTAGGAACAGATACCTGATAGACAATGGTATATCCACACAATGGATTATTATGAAGCTGCAAAAATGAAAGAATGATTTTTATATGCTGACATAGAGTAAGTTACAGAATATGTGAAAAATTTAAAAATCAATCTGCAATATGGTATAAATGACAACATGTATATAAGAAGTGGAAAATATAAATATATATATATGCATCACTTATACTTCAGAAGTAAATAATACATATGTGAATAGAAAAAGATGAAATGGCTAGACTGAGGGAAGTTATGGAGTAAAGAAAACAGGGGTATAAATAAGACTCCTGTATGTGTCACTATTGTAAAATTTTGACTTGGAAAACACGTAAATGTTTGCTTTACTTAAAAAGTAAAAAACGAAAAGACCCAAAAGTTGACTTGAAAACTAACATCTAAAAATATGCGATTATGTCAATGTTATTAGGAATTAAGTAGTTATCAGAAAAAAAGATTCAGGAATAAAGACAAAAACTAATAAACAACTTTGTAGGTTTAAAATTTGTGTTTAGCTGGGCGCGGTGGCTCACGCCTGTAATACCAGCACTTTGGGAGGCCGAGGCCGGTGTATCAGGAGGTCAGGAGATTGAGACCATCCTGGCTAACACGGTGAAACCCCGTATCTACTAAAAAATACAAAAAATTACCCAGGCCTGGTGGCGGGCGCTTGTTGTCCCAGCTACTCGGGAGGCTGAGGCAGGAGAATGGCGTGAGCCCAGGAGGCGGAGCCTGCAGTGAGCCGAGATCGCACCACTGCACTTCAGCCTGGGCAACAGAGCGAGACTCCGTCTCAAAAAATAAAAATTAAAATTAAAAAATTTTTTTAAATTGTGTTTAGAAACAACAGTATGAACCCACGTGCTACATACATGTGTAATTCATGTGTGTATGTATATACACATCATGCACACACATACACATGTAAGTATTCCCGCTGTCCACTGAAAAGTTCCATTCCATTTTCTTTCATTCTAATCTAGATTGTTATTCACTTGGAATAGTGAAATTCAATAATTGAAGTGTTTTTCCTTTATGTCTATGAGCGTACGTTGAAGGATCTTATGAGATCCTAAGCAAACTCTTGATTGTATTTTCTCTAGGAAATTAATTGAGGATATTTTTCAGTGCATCACACAGTAAACTCTATGTGAGGACGCATAGAAGAAATGCCTCTCAAGTCAAATAGCATTTCCTAAGTGGTTTTCAATTGTACAGGCAATGAGAATCTTAAAACTGCTCTTTTTTCCTAGTGTTTTTGTTCTTTTGTGTTTGCTTCACAATGGAAATTTGGAACAAATTTGTATGTTACCTCTTGAAATTTACAAAAAAATGCATAAAAATTTTTACTCACTTAATCCCATTTTTTGGTTTAATATTTGAATCTTATCTTTCCTTCATTCTATTTTCCTCAAGAATATATACGATGAGATCAAAAATGAAAACTTTTGTCAAGGTGCCCTAAATTCTTTCCTTGGGTGAGAATCTTAGCCCTGTGGATGTTGATCTTCTCATCCTTCTTATAAAAGGAGTAAAAGCATGAATGTGATACACAGATGGGTGTTTTTGTTCTATCTACCTCACTAAGCTGTGTAACCCTAGAAATGGGAAGTAACTCTCAGTCACTCACTTTATCTATAAAGAAGAAATTCACTAATTTTATCTGAAACCAGAGACATTAGCCCCAAAACATTCAATTGATCACATGTGTGAAGCAGCCCTACAGCATCTCTAGTGAATAAAAGTTCTTTAAAAATGTTAATTTCCTTTCGCTGTCCACAAAAATAGGCTCTCAAACAAGATTAAATCTTATTAATTTGTCTTACAATGTTCAATTCCAGATGTATGTCCCTATGCCAGATTCATATACATTTTTTTAATTAGAAATAACTTTTCATGTATTTGTTCTTTAATAATTATAGCAATACATAATGTTTTAGTAATTATTTATGGAAGTAAGTTATTTATAATTTTTTCAAGTTACTAAAGAGAATGTTACTAGATATTAGAACAGCCTCACATGTGATAGGATAGAGCGCTCCTCCAGAAATTACCCTAAGATGTCATTTTCCACAATTTTTTTTGTTGTTGTTAATGACCAAGGAGTAAGAAAGACTGCAAATTTGTCTCCAGTTCCCTAGAGTGTTTATTATAGATCTTCATTAAAGATCTTGTATTTATAGATGCCTCCACACTGTTAAATATCTAAAACTTTTTTTATTTATGGATGTCTCCACACTGTTAAATAGCTGAAATTTTCAACTGTTCTCTCGTCCATCTGATTGAAAAAGAGTGGATTCTATAGGTTCCTTCATTTGTAGAAAGATGATTTATGCTTTCCTAGCAATGAACAATATAGAACATCTCCTCCAACGTCCATATACTCAATATTCTCTTAGTAAAAACTGAGATTCTAGGAAAAAAGTTGATAGCCAGAAGCAGCTGGCATTGTCTTGTCCCACCAGTTCATCCTCGAGAAACATCAATGCTTAGTTGTCTATAGTGATTATTACTGACATTACTAACAAATCCCCACTTTAGTGTATGTTTTGTATACCTACAGCTTTTCTGGTTGACACTTTTCTAGTGTTTGTTTCTGACGAGGTCTGGCTCTGTAACCCAGGCTGAAATGCAATGGCACAATCTCAGTTCACTGCAGCCTTGACTTCCTGGACTCCAGTGATCCTCCCATCTCAGCCCCCCGAGTAACTGGAGACCGCAGGTGGACACCACTATGCCCAGCTAATTTTTGTATTTTTCTGGTAGAGTCAGGGTTTCACCATGTTGTCTAGACTGGTCTTGAATCCTGGGTTCAACTGATCCTTGCATCCCAGCCTCCCAAAGTGCTAGGATTATAGACGTGAGCCACTGCACTGGGCCTTTAGCTGTTTCTTATCTATTTTCTTTTTTTTATATACTTTAAGTTTTAGGGTACATGTGCACAACATGCAGGTTTGTTACATATGTATACATTTGCCATGTTGGTGTGCGGCACCCAGTAACTCGTCATTTAATGTTAGGTATATTTCCTAATGCTATCCCTCCCCCGTCCCCCGACCCCACAACAGTCCCAGGTGTGTAATGTTCCCCTTCCTGTGTCCATGTGTTCTCATTGTTCAATTCCCACCTATGAGTGAGAACATGTGGTGTTTGGTTTTTGGTCCTCACGATAGTTTGCTGAGAATGATGGTTTCCAGCTTCATCCATGTCCCTACAAAGTACATGAACTCATCATTTTTTATGGCTGCATAGTATTCCATGGTGTATATGTGTCACATTTTCTTAATCCAATCTATCATTGTTGGACATTTGGGTTGGTTCCAAGTCTTTGCTATTGTGAATAGTGCCACAATAAACATATGTGTGCATGTGTCTTCATAGCAGCATGATTTATAATCCTTTGGGTATATATCCAGTAATGGGATGGCTGGGTCAAATGGTATTTCTAGTTCTAGATCCCTGAGGAATTGCCACACTGTCTTCCACAATGGTTGAACTAGTTTACAGTCCCACCAAAGGTGTAAAAGTGTTCCTATTTCTCCACATCCTCTCCAGCACCTGTTGTTTCCTGACTTTTTAATGATGACCATTCTAACTGGTGTGAGATGATATCTTATTGTGGTTTTGATTTGCATTTCTCTGATGGCCAGTGATGATGAGCATTTTTTCATGTGTTTGTTGGCGGGATAAATGTCTTCTTCTGAGAATTGTCTGTTCATATCCTTCACCCACTTTTTGATGGGATTGTTTGTTTTCTTCTTGTAAATTTGCTTGAGTTCATTGTAGATTCTGGATATTAGCCCTTTGTCAGATGAGTAGATTGCAAAAATTTTCTCCCATTCTGTAGGCTGCCTGTTCACTCTTATGGTAGTTTCTTTCGCTGTGCAGAAGCTCTTTAGTTTAACTAGATCCCATTTGTCAATTTTGGCTTCTGTTGCCATTGCTTCTGGTGTTTAGACATGAAGTCTTTGCCCATGCCTATGTCCTGAATGGTATTGCCTAGGTTTTCTTCTAGGGTTTTTATGGTTTTAGGCTTAACATTTAAGTCTTTAACCCATCTTGAATTAATTTTTGTATAAGGTGTAAGGGGATCCAGTTTCAGCTTTCTACATCTGGCTAGCCAGTTTTCCCAGCACCATTTATTAAATAGGAAATCCTTTCCCCATTTCTTGTTTTTCTCAGGTTTATCAAAGATCAGATAGTTGTAGATATGCGGCATTATTTCTGAGGGCTCTGTTCTGTTCCATTGGTCTATATCTCTGTTTTGGTACCAGTACCATGCTGTTTTGGTTACTGTAGCCTTGTAGTATAGTTTGAAGTCAGGTAGTGTGATGCCTCCAGCTTTGTTCTTTTGGCTTAGGATTGACTTGGCAATGCAGGCTCTTTTTTGGTTCCATATGAACTTTAAAGTAGTTTTCTCCAATTCTGTGAAGAAAGGCATTGGTAGCTTCATGGGGATGGCACTGAATCTATAAATTACCTTGTGCAGTATGGCCATTTTTATGATATTGATTATTCCTACCCATGAGCATGGAATGTTCTTCCATTGGTTTGTATCCTCTTTTATTTCATTGAGCAGTGGTTTGTAGTTCTCCTTGAAGAGGTCCTTCACGTCCTTGTAAGTTGGATTCCTAGGTATTTTATTCTCTTTGAAGCAACTGTGAATGGAAGTTCACTCATGATTTGGCTCTGTTATTGGTGTATAAGAATGTTTCTGATTTTTGCACATTGATTTTGTATCCTTAGACTTTGCTAAAGTTGCTTATCAGCTTAAGGAGATTTTGGGCTGAGATGATGGGGTTTTCTAGATATACAATCATATCATCTGCAAACAGGGGCAATTTGACTTCCTCTTTTCCTAATTGAATGCCCTTTATTACCTTCTCCTGCCTGATTGCCCTGGCCAGAACTTCCAACACTATGTTGAATAGGAGTGGTGAGAGAGGGCATCCCTGTCTTGTGCCAGTTTTCAAAGGAAATGCTTCCAGTTTTTGCCCATTCAGTATGATATTGGCTGTGGGTTTGTCATAGATAGTTCTTATTATTTTGAGATATGTCTCATCAATTCCAAATTTATTGAGAGTTTTTAGCATGAAGTTTGTTGAATTTTAAAGGCCTTTTCTGCATCTATTGAGATAATCATGTGGTTTTTGTCATTGGTTCTGTTTATATGTTGGATTTGCATTTACTGATTTGCATATGTTGAACCAGCCTTGCATCCCAGGGATAAAGTCCACTTGATCATGGTGGACAAGCTTTTTGATGTGCTGCTGGATTCGGTTTGCCAGTATTTTATTGAGGATTTTTGCATCGATGTTCATCAGGGATATTGGTCTAAAATTCTCTTTTTTTTTTGTTGTGTCTCTGCCAGGCTTTGGTATCAGGATGATGCTGGCCTCATAAAATGAGTTAGGGAGGATTCCCTCTTTTTCTATTGATTGGAATAGTTTCAAAAGGAATGGGACCAGCTCCTCCTTGTACTTCTGGTAGAATTCAGCTGTGAATCCATCTGGTCCTGGACTTTTTTTGGTTGGTAAGATATTAATCATTGCCTCAATTTCAGAGCCTGTTGTTGGTCTATTCAGAGATCAACTTCTTCCTGGTTTAGTCTTGGGAGGGCGTATGTGTCGAGGAATTTAACCATTTCTTCTAGATTTTCTAGTTTATTTGCATAGAGGTGTTTATAGTATTCTCTGATGGTAGTTTGTGTTTCTGTGGGATTAGTGGTGATATCCCCTTTATCATTTTTTATTGTGTCTATTTGATTCTTCTCTCTTTTCTTCTTTATTAGTCTTGCTAGTGGTCTATCAATTTTGTTGATCTTTTCAAAAAACCAGCTCCTGGATTCATTGATTTTTTGAAGGGTTTTTTGTTTCTCTATCTCCTTCAGTTCTGCTCTGATCTTAGTTATTTCTTGCCTTCTGCTAGCTTTTGAATGTGTTTGCTCTTGCTTCTCTAGTTCTTTTAATGATGACGTTAGAGTGTCAATTTTAGATCTTTCCTGCTTTCTCTTATGGACATTTAGTGCTATAAATTTCCCTTTACACACTGTTTTAAATGTGTCCCAGAGATTCTGGTATGTTGTGTCTTTTTTCTCATTGGTTTCAAAGAACATCTTTATTTCTGCCTTCATTTTGTAATGTACCCAGTAGTCATTCAGGAGCAGGTTGTTCAGTTTCCATGTAGTTGAGTGATTTTGAGTGAGTTTCTTAATCCTGATTTCTAGTTTGATTGCACTGTGGTCTGAGAGACAGTTTGTTATAATTTCTGTTCTTTTACATTTGCTGAGGAGTGCTTTACTTCCAACTATGTGGTCAGTTTTGGAATAGGTGTGGTGTGGTGCTGAAGAGAATGTATATTCTGTTGATTTGGGGTGGAGAGTTCTGTAGATGTTTATCAGGTCCACTTGGTGTAGAGCTGAGTTCAATTCCCGGGTATCCTTGTTAACTTTCTGTCTCGTTGATCTGTCTAATGTTGACAGTGGGGTGTTAAAGTCTCCCATTATTATTGTGTGGGAGTCTATGTCTCTTTGTAGGTCTCTAAGGACTTGCTTTATGAATATGGGTGCTCCTGTATTGGGTTCATATATATTTAGGATAGTTAGCTCTTCCTGTTGAATTGATCCCTTTACCATTATGTAATGGCCTTCTTTGTCTCTTTTGATCTTTGTTGGTTTAAAGTCTGTTTTATCAGTTCAAAGAACCCTGTCAGTGCCTCAGCAAAAAGAAAAGCCTGAGTGAAATTTCAATGATCCTTTTTCATTTTGATTAGAAACAGAAAGAAGTTCTTCAATCTGCTAGTGAATGAAATCAAAAATTCCTCTTTGCCAAAGGAAGCACCTGAAGTTTCTTTTATGTAAAAATTAAAAGAAAATATAAACTAATTGTGTCTGTTTTTTAATTTTTAAGGTCAGGGTACATGTGCAGGTTTGTTACGTAGGTAAACTTAAATCACAAGTATTTGTTGTACAGATTATTTCATCAGCCAGATGATAAGCCGAGTATCCTTTAGTTATTTTTCTTGATCCTCTCCCTTCTCCCACCCTCCATCAGGGTGTGTTGTTCCCCTCTATGGGTCCATGTGTTCTCATCATTTAGCTCCCACTTATAAGTGAGAACATGTGGTATTTGGTGCTCTGTCCCTGCGTTAGTTTGCTAAGGATATTGGCCTGCAGTTTATGGAAAATGACCGGAAACACCAGAAAGTTCATGGTGACAGGTATATAGAACTCTGAATTACTGCTTTTTAATTTATGCTTCTTCATTTTCTTCATAGGTAAATGTTGGTTTCTCCAAGGAACTTCAATAAGACTTTGTTTGTGGTAGCTCTTTTATGCCACCTGAAATTATTTTTAAAAAGCTTTACTGAGTTATAAATGATACACAGATAACTACACATATTTTATGTGTACAATTTGTTGAATTTAGACATAAGCAAACACCCATGATATCAACACCACGATCAAGGTAATAGAAATATCTAACACCACCCAGGATTTCCCTGTGTTCTTTTATTTTTGTTTTTAATTAGAAATAACTCTGTATTTATTTCTTTCTAAGCATTATAGCAATACATATATGTCAGTTCATAAAACACAGAAAGTAACCTCTTTCAAATGACTTTCAGGCACCATCAAAAAGACTTTTCTCAACTACTCCCTAATTCTCATTATGTAGGCATCTTTGGGTTGCACAAAACACCCCATGCAGTGCTTCTCACTAAGTCAATCATCACTAGAATGCTTTACAAAATTCCCCTGCGTTTCCTTCTTTTATCATTCAATTTGAAGGAGAAGAGAGTGAAATTCCTTGGAGGATCACAGTTCATCAAACCTTTGTGTTTCCTGTGAGTGCATAAAGTACTTCTGGGAATTGTTTGTGACACTTAAATACCTCCTGCACACAGGAGTGAGGGTGGGATGAGCTAGTAGCTCAGACAACAACCAGATTGATTCACCGTGTTTCGATTCTTCTCAGAATATATCTTTGGTACAACCCATCAAAGAAGGGGAACACTCAACCTCTCACCAACAGGTAGAAAGCAGGTCAGGACATAGGTCTGAATGTAGAAAGCGATGTGACCTGTTGGGGGGAGTGTTATGCTGCCCAGTGCCCCTTTGAGCATGGGTTATTCTTGGCACAAGGTCCCTGCCATTTTAGCATTTCAAAAAAAGACAAAACCATGAGTTTGGCTTTTAGGATATCTCGTTACAAGTATAAATTCAAAAAATGCTAGGAATGGAAGATTCTACAGAGTTTGTATTCGCCACCCCATCTGTATTACAGATAAGGAAGGTGCATCTAATGTGTCAATTTACTGAGATCAAACAATTTATTCTTTAAAAAACATAGGACTATAACCAGGATCTCCAGACTCTTGCTCCACTATTCTTTTCATATGAACTTGAAAAAGCAAGTGATACATAGAAATCTAAAGTACATTTTTCCTTTATTTCCATAACAGAATACTTGTGCTGGTCTTTTGTTAAATATTTGAGTTTATTATTAACAAAGAAATATGCTTATTTGCTGAATATTCTACCGTTTCTTTAAGAGTCTAATGGGCTGAACGTTGGCTACATGGGACCAAAAAGAAAAGTGTAGAGGTTTTCTTTCCTTTTGTCTTAGTCAAGCTCAATTTTGAATATTACAACCTTGTCTCTAAATATCATTTAATGGAATTACTACAGAATTAAATTTATGTCTCCCTAAAAGTTCAGGCAGTTCGTGATACATTCTCTCTAAGGAATAAGCATGAAACATTTTTTCTAGAAATTATGAGTGCATGCTCATCTAATAAATTAAAACATCTATACTTGCACACAATTGACAATTGCATTAAGCACCTAACACATGATGTCACTAAATTCAGCCCTTTTTATATATTCTAATCAATTTTTACAGAAAGTTATTAAGGGAGGCATTATTAGTCTCAAGGAACAAATGAAAAATTATGACTCCGAGAAGCTAAGTATTGTGCTGGAAATCAGGAGTAGCAGATGGTAAAACCTGAAATTGTCTGTCCACTATAAATGAGAACAGGCAGGATGCTTTATGGCTGATGAAGCACCTTCTCATACACTGCTTTATTTAACCAGAGCCTCGAATCTACAAGGGAGGAAGGAATTATCTGATAATTACATTTTCCAATCAAATGAAATGGATTGACTGGCACATACCCAGCTGTGGATTAGAGTCCTGATTCCTAGTGCTTCTTACAAGGTTATCTCTTACTCCTTTAAATATTGCAATCTGGTATCTGCATTTTAATTAGTGTCTGAATCTGTTTCCTCATCTATAAAAGTATAAGTATAGGCCAGGCATAGTGGCTCATGCATGTAATCCTAGCACTTTGGGAGGTCAAGGCAGTTGGATCACTTGAGGTCAGGAGTTCGAGACCAGCCTGGCCTACATGGTGAAACCCCATTTCTACTAAAAATAGAAAAATTAGCCAGGCGTGGTGGCGAGCACCTGTAGTCCCAGCTACTCAGGAGGCTGAGGCAGGAGAATTGCTTGAACGCAGGAGGCGGAGGTTGCTGCGGTGAGCTGAGATTGTGCCACTGCACTTCAGCCTGGGAGACACAGCGAAACTCCGTCTTAACAATACATAAATACATGCATACATACATACATAAAGTATAAGTATAAGGTTGGCTAGATAGGTCCTTTTTCAACAATAGGATTATTTTTTCTCTTGCTAAAAGTTGAAGAACATGCTGAAAAATATCAGATCATTTTTCGTTTTTTTTGTGGTTGTTGTTTGTTTTTTTCGTTTTTCCTGGTAGGTTATTTTAAAATTCCTGCATGAAGAAACAAGGGGAAAATGAATACAATGAATACAGCACTACATAGGGAACTGGTAGTCCCAAATTCAATGGCTGATCCTGCAACTCACAGAATCAGCAAGTGACTTTGTCAGTCCCCTCAGCCTAGGTTTTTATTTCCTCATCAATTTAACCTATGAAGAGATGTCTGCATTCACATGTAGTGAGAAATAGCTGAACTGCAGTAGGGACAAATATTCTCTTCTTTTTTTGTAGCAGCTTTATTCAGGTATAACTGACATGCAACAAATTAAATATGTTTGAAATATAAAATGTGATATGTCTTAATATATGTATACACTCACAAAACCGTTATCACCTGCAAAATAGTAAATAAATCCATTACCCCCAAAAGTTTCCTCATGCCTCTTGATACTCCCTCCCCTCTGCTCCACCTCACACATATCTCTATCCAGGTGACTATTGATCTGCCTCCTGTCAATATTAATTATCTTACACTTTCTAGATTTTTACAAATGAAATCATAAAAGTTATCTTTTTTATCTGGCTGTTTTCTCTCAGTCTAATTATTTTGAGATTCATCTAACACATTGCATGTGTCAATAATCTGATTCTTTTAATCATTAATTAGCATTTCATTTTATGGACATACCCCAATTTACTTACCCTGTCACTTATGTACAGTTAGGCTGTTTGCAGGGTTATTTAATGACTGAATCATAGAGTTGGTATGCATATTTTTGAGTTTATAAGAAACTATGAAACAGTTTTCTAAAGTGGTTGTACTACTTTACATTTCTACCAATAACGATAAAATTTCCAATTACTACATTTCCTTGTCAACACTTGGTATAGTCAGTCTTTTAAAATTTTAATCATTAGTGTGTAACATTATTTTATTGTGTTTTTAACTTGTATTCCCCTAATGAATATTTGAGCATTTTTACGCAATTATTTGTGATTCAGTGATCTCCTTTGGTGAGTATCTATTGAAATTTTTGACCAATTCTTATTGGATTGTCTGATTTCTTATTATTAGGTATTAAAATGTCTTTGTATGTTATGGATACAAGTTTTTTAAATCAGAAATATGTCTTTTTTAATTTCTCTTGTGCCACTCAGTAACTCTGGCTTTTTAAAAATTATCATTTACTGTGTTTTCTTATATGTCTGATCTTCTGTTCCAAGTATTTCACTTTCTGTATATGTGTGATGTGTTATACTTTGAGGTCCTCGTGTCACTTATTTTCCTATCTATGTCTACCTGTAATGAAAATTAAAGTTTATTCATTATCTGAATTTATATTTGCTTTCTTTTAGAAAGAAGAAATATCCACACTGTTCTTCTTTACTCATTAATAAGACACACAATTGTGCAGACTGAGTCAAACATCTAGTATCATGTGATAAATGACCCCGGAGCACCAAGGTCATTGAAGAAGCAGAACTTGCCATTCCCAAGAAGTTAACACCTCCTCATGCTGTCAGTGGGCACATGGAGAGGACACATCACCATTTTAACAAAGCATTTGAGTTATTCTATTGGTCATAGAATCTAATTACTGGAAAGATTTTTATGAATCATCCTAAACAAAGCCTTCATTTACTGTAGAACTATATGTATACACATATACACAATAGATAAATATATATATATATATGTATATTGCAATATCTCTGGCATATGATTGCTCGTCTTTAGTTTGAATATTTTCAGTGACAGGGAATTTACTACATCCATCAAAAAACTAAATCCAGGCACACATACACTTGAAGCAATGGATAAAGAAAACAGCTCAATGGTGACTGAGTTTATCTTCATGGGCATCACCCAGGACCCTCAGATGGAGATCATCTTCTTCGTGGTCTTCCTCATAGTTTACCTGGTTAATGTAGTGGGGAATATTGGTATGATTATCCTGATTACAACAGACACTCAGCTTCACACACCCATGTATTTTTTCCTCTGCAACCTCTCCTTTGTTGACCTGGGCTACTCCTCAGCCATTGCCCCCAGGATGCTGGCTGACTTCCTAACAAATCACAAAGTTATCTCCTTCTCCAGCTGTGCCACCCAGTTTGCTTTTTTTGTAGGTTTTGTGGATGCTGAGTGCTATGTCCTGGCAGCCATGGCCTATGGTCGTTTTGTGGCCATTTGTCGACCCCTCCACTATAGCACCTTCATGTCCAAGCAGGTCTGCTTGGCTCTCATGCTGGGCTCTTACCTGGCTGGTCTAGTGAGTTTAGTAGCCCACACTACCCTCACCTTCAGCCTGAGTTACTGTGGTTCCAATATCATCAATCATTTCTTCTGCGAAATCCCACCACTCTTGGCCCTCTCTTGCTCAGACACCTACATCAGTGAGATCTTGCTCTTCAGTCTGTGTGGCTTCATTGAATTCAGCACCATCCTCATCATCTTCATCTCCTATACCTTTATCCTTGTTGCAATCATCAGAATGCGTTCAGCTGAAGGCCGCCTTAAGGCTTTCTCCACCTGCGGGTCTCACCTTACTGGCATCACCCTCTTCTATGGCACAGTCATGTTTATGTACCTGAGGCCAACATCCAGCTACTCCCTGGACCAAGACAAGTGGGCCTCTGTGTTCTACACGGTTATCATCCCCATGTTAAATCCCTTGATCTACAGTTTGCGGAACAAGGATGTGAAAGCTGCTTTCAAAAAGCTAATTGGAAAAAAATCTCAATAATAACACAAAATGAAAATCTGTTTCTGTCATAGGTAAATGACAGTAGTAGAAGGGCATAGAAAATGCAAATAACTTTTCGATAAACACTACCCAAGTTACCATCTCCTTGCTAAGTGAATATTAAATTCTGAAGGGTGGGCTCTAATCCTTAACTCTGCAATCTGAAAGAAATATAAACTAAATTAGTATATTTGAAAGACATACTGGGCAAAATACATTCATTTCTTATTTAAAGTTGGTTCACATATTAATTAGAAACTGGGACAGGACTCAGTAAGAGAAAGAAATAGTCAATAACTCTGAACAATTTTTTTTCCCCTGGGGTCATGAGGAATGCCAGGTCCAAATGTTGAAATTTTTTTTACTCTCAAAAGAAGTCAGAGAAAATGTAGTTAAAAACATGGAGAATGAGGCTGGTGTGAGGGACAATGTAACTCAGTCTGAGTTCTATCCATTCATATATTTAGCAAAAAATTTTAAGTGTTATGTATGTGCCAGGTTCTAGAGGATATAAACACAAGGCTTTTTGCCAACAAGGAGTTTGCTGTGCTTCCAGTGACTGTATTGTCTCTCTGAATCTGCTGTCACTGGTAACAAATCAGTGACTATGCGAAGTCCAAGGATAAGAGCCAGATATTTAAGTTCTGCTGGTGACTAGCTATAATCAGGGAATAAAATCGTCTTCTTTTTCTGTCCTCAGCTTTCCCTTTAGTGGGTCAAGTGGGTGGGTTCAACTAATAACCACAGGATTTCTTTGACCTTCTCTACCTAATGTTAAAAAGGAGTAGGCATCATAGTTTTGTCAACTGTATATATTGACATCTTCTTGGCCCTCAGAGGAAATCCAATAATTCTGGGGCTCTAAGAAAGATAAAGCTGGATGCAATCTCTAAGGCTGATTTTAGCAAGATTGTTATGTCTACAAGGTTAGCTTACCTGCTCCCATCTAAAATTAGTACTGTCTTGTATCTTAATTAGACCCTAGCTTTCCCTGGGATGCCATGGGTCTCCATGCCCTTCACCAGCATCAGCAGGCCCTTTTCAAAGAACAGTCTCATTAATCCTGATGTAGGAATGACTAACAAGAAAAAATTATATAATTTTTATTCACATGTTCTAAAGGCTACAAAATATTCAATTGAAAACAAGAATGTCAGGTATCAGCAGCAGATTGAGATCTTGGATAAGCTAACATTTTCCCAGATGTGCTGAAATTCTGTCACAATAACAGTTTTGAATACTTGTAATCAATCATCTTTCTATTTCAACCCTTCCTCCAGTGTAACATAGTTAAAAGTCAGGGAAACACAATGGTTGCCTTAAAGTATAGAGCTGCCATATTCATCATGAAAGGCACTGAAGAGTTTTTAAGATAAAAAACCTAGGATTTACTGGGGTTTATCTGTACACAAGTTGTAATTGATCTAGTTTAAAATTAGTCACATCATAACTCATTTTGGGGAAAGAACCACCTGCAGCTAATGCACAGATACAGAGTTGACAGTTCAGAAACAGTCCAGCTCTAGCCTTCAGTTTCTTTTTTTCACCATTGTGAAAATCATGTATGCTCTGTGAAATGTAAGAAAAAAAAGGGCTTTCCTATCCCATTAACTACAAACCAAGGGTATGTTATAACTGAAAGAGCAATTGCCTTAGAATCAGGAATCTTGGAATCCCATTGCTAAGTCTCTAATCAGTGACCTTGTGGCTACAGGGCTAACTTTTCTCATTTCCTGTACTCACACAATAAACAAACCACTTTAAATCTTATTAAATTCATATAATGATCATTTGAAGTAGACATTATCCTCATTTTATTTATTTTAAGTTATTATTTTTTATTTATTTTTAATTTTTGTGGGTACATAGTAGGTGTACATATTTATGGCTTACATGAGATGTTTTGATACAGACATGCAATGTGAAATAAGCATGTCATGAAGAATGGAGTATCCATCCCCTCAAGTATTTATCCTTTGAGTTACAAATAATCAAATTACATTCTTTAAGTTATTTCAAAATACACAATTAAGTTATTATTGACTACGGTCACCCTATTGTGCTATTAAATAATAGGTCTTATTCATTCTTTTCTGTTTACTATTCAGCCATAAAAAAAAAAAGAATGAGATCCAGTCATTTGCAAAAACATGGATGGAATTGGAGATCATTGCGTTAAATAATGAATTGCTAAAAAGCAAATATTTACTTCCACTTGTTTTATATATTTATAAAAGCTAAGCGCCCTTATGAGAAGGGTTTCGCAATGTTTTCTGCATTTTCAATTCATTCATTTTTAGAATGAATTTCATCATTACCTCTTGGGTAAGATGGGCTAATAATATTGTGAATCAAAAAATAAATGTTTTAATTGAATATACATTTAGATATTTTGTGTTTTTTTAAAACTAATACAATATGTTTCTGAATTATAAATAGTTAACTGCTAAACATGCTTGTTTATTTGATAATGTCTGAGAGAATTTTAAATGTTACTTTTACTTTTAATAAAATGTTCAAAAGGAAATTTGTTAAACTATATATTTCTATTCCTACTTTACATATTAATCAAATATAAAATATATCGAGTCATCCATAAAGCAAGGTGAATATAAAAAGCAACAACAAAGAAAAAAAACTACTGTGTAAAGAATTTGATTATTTGGCTAGTGATTTTGCTTTTAGCTTTTGAAATATTTTTAATTTTAAGTCAGTGATGTCTACTCTACCTATGCAATTAGATATGTCTTATTTACTGTTTATATATGATCTTTATATTTAGTTAGAAAAAAATTGTTTCATTTTAGTTGTTGGATATATCTGAAAGATGAACTTTAAAAAAAAATTTTACTCTACATTGTTGAATAAACCAGTGAGAAACTTTTAGAGTTTGTCTCTAATTTAATAATGTGTAAATCACAGACCATATTAATTAAATATTAATAATATTAATCATTTATTAATTTTATTAATACTAAATTATATTTAGCTACTCTTCTACTTCAAAGAATAATTTTCCTTCAACATACTGGCTGAAAAGCATCAAAATGCTGGAAATGCTCTTTTTCACAAATGTGTGCTGCTAGTTAAGGTCCACCACACACCACACAGAAAAATCTGATGAAAACGTTAGCTGTGCTGTATCATTCTTCTTCAGAATACTTACATTTTACTAAGAATAAGCCTCTACTGCTCCCCACAGTCCCTCAGCCTTGCATGGGCTAGCAGCTGCTTCCCCAGCCAGACCTCCAATGCTCTGGTTTATTTCCTCAAAGGCAGCACCACTCTTTTACATCTCCAGTTTTGGTCCAACATCTCCTTACTAAGAAAGACCTCAATCTTTCTCTTATATCTCTTTCTGGTCCTTGCATGCAACCTCCTCAGAGGAGGACATCTTACCTATTGCCTATTACTGCCTCTTGAAAATTATTTCTTTATTACAGCTATCAAAATTTGTCAATTTATGTATAATGTATATAACATAGACAATAAGTATATGACATATATATGCTTTGAGGAAAAGACACATTTCTATTCTGTTTAACATTATATTACATAGTCATACAATAATAGGCTATCAATGAATAAATGAATCCTTTAACATGTTAATTAATATGTGACCAAATCTTCTGCTTCTGATCATTGCCATCCTCTTGTATACACAATTAGTCTAAGGTCACCAGGAACAAACTTATACATAGACAAATTAAGATGCTTCTGACCCATTTCAAAGATAGGGAACACACATCAGGAGAACCATGGACTATTTCTTCAAACACAGGAAGAAATAGAGCTATCACAGGATTTGTAGGAAGAAATGAGTTTAGGTGAAATTTAAATGAAGCAATATTTTGATAGAATATTACAAAGTAGGATACGCAAAGGGAACAATGATAAGTCCAAACCAAAAAGTAGATGCGGGGTCTTGTTTTCCTGGAAACTACAAAATTAACACAGATGCGGACTGTTGCATTAAAAAACCTTTAATCTGAATTCCTGCACCTGAGTTGGAAATTGAGATTTCTCCTCTGGATCAAAGTGACTTAGATTCTCAAGCACAGAGAAAAATATTTCACCTCACTGACAAAATTTCAAAAAATTAATTTCAGATAGTCTGTGACTTTAAAGAAACAGGTGTTTTGTTTTGTTTTGTTTTGTTTTTCAGTGAGTAACATAAGAGCAGTAGCTCAATGAAGGGAGTTGTTTGGACACATTAAAGCCCTGCCATGTGCTTGGAGGAAACATTTTTTTCTGCTGAATTTACACCTGGGTTTATGTGTCCTTTATAAATGGCAGGGCAGATGTTGACTGTCTAAGCTACTTTTTACTCTATCACTTCATAATCAGAAGGTAATTATGTTAGATTAAGAGTGAAGGTTAGTGTCTCATTAACAGCTGTCACATCCTCTGCTTTGCAATAGCTCTCCTTCGAGCTCCTTTCACATCTTGGTTCCTCAGGCTGTAAATCAAGGGGTTAAGCATGGGTGTGACCACCGTGTAGAAAACCGCAATGATCTTGCCGCCAGCCCAGGAGGACCTCGACTGTGGTCTCATGTCCATGAAGATGGCAGTCCCATAAATAAGGTTACCACTGTCAAATGGGAGGTACAGGTGGATAATGCCTGATACCGCCCAGAGGCTGACCGCATCCTGAGAACAGATTGAAGGATCCGGACATAGGAAACAACAATGAGGAGGAAAGGGATGAAGACAATGATGATACTGAAGATAAAAACAACCAGCTCTGTGAATGAGGTGTTGGTGCAAGCCAACCTCAGGACAGAAAGTACCTCACAGAAAAAGTGATTCAGGATATTAGGCCCACAGTAGGGCAAACTCAACGTGAGAACATTGATAACCATGGAACTCAGGAAGCTACTGGACCAAGAAATAACTGCCAGTTGAATGCAGGTGTTTTGGTCCATAATGAAGGTATAATGAAGAGGATGACAAATGGCTACATATCTGTCATAAGCCATGACACCAAGGAGGACACAATCATTCCAAAGGAGAGGGAGAAGTACATCTGAGTAGCGCAGCTGGAGAATGAGATGGTGTTCTTTTTCCCCGCCATGTTGGACAGCATTTGGGGGACATTGGTGGATGTGTAGCAAATGTCCAGAAAGGATAAATTAGTGAGGAAGAAGTACATGGGGGTTTGGAGGAGAGGTTCCATCTAGATAATAGTGATGATTATAACATTTCCAGCCACCGTTGATAAATAGAACAAGAACATAATAAAAAGAATAAGCTGTATCTTTGGTTCAGAGGACAACCCCAGGAACACAAATTCAGTGACAGTGAAGTTTGTGTTTATTGACTCCATCTTTCAAGGCATCTTCCTCTCACAGAACCATTGACTCACCTGAAGACAAAACAAAATGCCCTATATGTCAGAGTTTTGGAAACTCAGGATGGAAAAAATAAGGAGAAATCTTGGTGTAAGACTGTGTCCTGAGTATCTGAGTTTTAGTACAAATGAAAAGCTTTTCTTCTGCTTTTTCAGGGAATATTTGATGAGATCAGACTGTCAAATTAAAATACTGATTTGAGTTAAGTAAATATTCTTTCCTTTTCTGAAAGGGAATGCTCTTTTGCCTATTCATAATCATTTCAAACTTGATTCATTCTTCAAAGACTTAGTCTTCAAAGACTTCACTTACTTCACAAAGATCTGATTCTTGTTGCTGTTGTGCTCCACCTGACAGAGCAACACAACACATCACTCAAATAAATGGCAATGAAGATTATTGCTTCATGCATTACCCCACTAATCTACACATAAAGCCAAGCTTCCTCTACATTACCCTGATGCAACCTTCTAGTCCTTAGACACCCTGACACCAAAAAAAGACTGTGCACACTAACAAAAACCGTCATGAGGCACATTAATTGCCAATTTTTCCACCTTACCATTTCCGTACTGTGGAATCTGGGATGATCTTATTATGCATAAAATGAGAATAATAATAGAATGTATTTCATGATAAATTTTAAGGACTAAAATTAATAATGTATACAAAGAATTTAAGACAATGTCTACACATGGGAAGTAATCCAGAAACAACATCTATTATTAACAGACCTAATAACATAAAGTGATTTTACATTCATCTGGAATTTACTTCTCTAATAATAATAATTTCAAGGAAATAATATTAATGAAAATTATCTAGACAAGTTAAAGTTACTAGGTCTATTTACTGAGAGCTCCTTGAGCCCCTACTGCATCTATTTGCTCTCAGTTCATATATAGTGTTAGTATGTTTGATTAACTGACTTCTAGCCTGGAGCAGTTCAAAAGGAGTAACTTAAAAAGATATTTAGTAATGAAAAACCTAGAAGTAGGCGTAGTTAAATAGCAAAAAGTAGCTGTCAGTCATTCATCCATTCATTTATTAATTCTTTTTTTATTTCTTTGGTCTTTTTTTCTTCCTTTCAAAACTATCTTTTTGATATTGTAGTATGTAGTAGACACAGGATATACATTGGTAAATATAACATATATTCATAATACTGTCATGAGCTTACAGTCACGGCAAGTTGCAGTAAAGGAAGCAAACTGGTTCCTAAGGGAGTGGAGACTCTTGCTCAAGAAGACATTAAAGAAACAAGTAGTTGCAGGTCAGGAAAAACAATATATCAAAGTATCGTTTTGTAAATAATAGTGACTCACATGTAGTATGTGTTAGATGGCTTTCACAAGCTTTGATTTAAATCATGGTTTTCAAATCAAATAATTCTATGAACTGGCAAACCTTTTCATTTAAAATTTCATGTCCAGGGATAAGAAAAGATGGACCTGGAAGGAAGAGAGAGAAATCAAGTCACACCGTCCTACTTCATCGGAGGCAGGAGGGAGGGCAGTGGACAAGAGAAGCTACAGAGTTCCCTTCCGGGCTCCAAACAGCAATCAGAAAATTCTGCTGTAAATAAGAAATGCTCTGATGATCTTTAGAAGTGATTCTAGACTATAGTGGCAAGAAATGACATCCACAGTGAGTTTCTCTATTGACAACATGACCCAGACAACATGATCTATTGACAACATGAGCCAATCCAGACACCATGTGACTAGTGGTGAAACACACAGGACCCACCATCAAAGGGCCTGAATTACATGCTCCACCTTCACCTGAATTACATGCTCCAGCTCCATCACTGGCCCGCTGGAGGCTCTGTGCAATTCACACCACCAGTCCGTGCCTCATTTTCCTCATGTGCAGGATAGGGTAAAACTAGCACCTACCTCCTAGAGACGCTGAAAAAATTAAATGAGATACTGCATGTAAATCACCTAAAACACCTAACTAGGTATAGATGGTAAGTGCTCAATACATGTTAACTATTATCATTTCATTATCTATATTTATAACTATATCATTTCATTATATTGTGTGATACTCATTAGAGGATTTTCGTTATGTATACAGAATAAGAATTATTGGCAACCCTTCCAAAAACATGACAGAACTTATCCAAGATCTTTTGAGGATTTATTTTAATATATATAAAAGTACCTACAACATATGTAAGCAGGATAGTTATATCTATACCATCTATATCTACATCTATACATAGTAAGAAGACCACACCAAAAATAATAGTCTTGGTTCAATAGGTATGCAGTACAAATAAAACTGGATCTTAAAAAGAAACATTAAATATTTTGGGTCAACTTCTAAACATTGTCTACATTTTGAAGATTCAAAAAAATAGAATAATCCCTTAATCCCTCTGAATTCACAATTGTCTCAAAGAGCATCTTCAGTCACGTTACAGCTGCAGCTGTTGAAAGCCAGATACAAATTATTCAACTGTGCAGTGCTTCAGAATATAAATCTATTCTGTTCTTATAATGCACAAAGTTTCATCTCCTTCATAAGGAAAGAGAAATAAAGACATCTTTGGAAATAAGTGTAACACCCACAGTTTGAAGCAAACTCACCAAATTAAACACGGAGTTTCAAGAAACCCAGATATTTTGTAATCATTTGTGGATTTCATATATGCTCCTGATTAAATAAGCAATTGCCTAATTAGTTATGTACCTTTGATTTACCTCACAAAGTAAAAGCTACTATTGCCAAACGCCCTTTCAGCTTGTATGCCTGGAAATCTCCTGTTAAGTCTTTTCATACCAGCCATGCAGGGCATCCTGTTTGTCTTTAGTTTTCTGGGGGTCCTAATATGTTTGTTTATGTTTCTCCAGCCCATAGAACTTAATAAACACTATTTAATGCTGCCAGTGCTCAAATAAACCCTTCCTATTTTCTACTCTTCTTAAGTTTTTATCTTTTATTAGGAATAAATTTACTCTCATGGTAGGCATGATATCAGTCGAAGCTTATTGTCAAGCAATCATTTATCTGTTCTTTACTGAACAACACTAATTCTCAAAAGCCATCTAATTCTATTAAAAAAAGTTGACAAAAAGGCACAAACTGTGGCTAACTTACACTTTACCTTATGCCAGGGTATATGGAATTATATCAACACATTAGGATTGTATGTATTAAATGGATAAATGACTCATCTTTCTATTCTGCAAATCATAGAAAGAAACCTAATATATATTTTACATCAAAGTAGAAAAGTCTAATTTTCTTTCATAAATTCAAGATTTGCAAGAGCTAAAAACTTTAATCTCTGTAATTTAAACCATCTGTATAAGTGAATACATTTCTTTCTCCAAGGCATAATTAAATTTATTACTTACATTTGGTAGATAGGTTTGACAGATAGTGATGATATTGTTAGTATCCAGTAATATTTCATTTTCAGAGGATAACTTTGCAAAGCAATGTAGTGTGGGGGTTAAAACCATAAACTATGGACATGGACAATTTGGACATAAATTCTGACACCATCATTCTGTGTTGAATCACTTGGGCAAATTTCTAAACTTCTCTAAACTCACCTTTGTCCTATGTTAAGCAAGAACTCTATTAACACCTAATTCATAGAATTATTTTGATGATTATATTAGAAAGTGCACCTGGCAATTCTAACATAGTATCTGACACATAGTAACTAACTACTTTATAAATTACAATTAATAGTATCATATAAACTCCAGATTTCTTAAATTTGATACCAATTTACTTGGGTTCTAAGAATGGAAAGACCACTAGATATAACCATATTGGGAGTACTTGTCACATCACTATAGAGGTATTTAGATCCTACATAAACTCGTACAAACCCTATGTGCATTTAGCATCACCAACATTTATGATATCCTTTCATAGATTATCAGTTTGCCTATAAATAATATTACTTAAAAATCCATTTAAAAATTAAAAAGTTTAAGGGCTAAGCAGAATAAACATTATATCATAACATAATCTTATTCCCCATCGAATTAAGTAAGAACATTAGGGAAGGTTGCCAAACAGGCCAAAAAATATCTTTCTGATTAACCTATTATTGATTTATAAAAGGTATTCTGGAGACATAATTGTCATTTGATAAAATAAAAACACATCACTTACAGTGATTAAAAATTACACTATATATGATAACTTACTGCTTAGTGTGAGATAGCTTCACAAATCCTCTTGAATTAATCATTGGGATCTGGTTTTGATCAAAGCATGTAGGAAAAATAGGAGAATATACAAGCAGAGGCTCCTGGAATTCCATGCCTTCATAGAGAGGCAAACTTTAAATTAGTAAGAATGTTATGCTGGAAAACTTCATAACAAAAGTTAACAAATTCTGATGTTGCGTAGAGGTGAATAAATTACCTCTTCCTCCAACAAAAACTCTCTCTATAAAAAAGAAAAACAAATCTCCAAAAGAACTGATATTTATTGCTACACACTGTGATTCTCTATTGCAGGGCAAGTATTTTGCTAAGTACTTTAAAGAGAGTAAATTTCAAATTTCATCTTCACAAAGATGAAATACATTTATTTCATCTAAAATACATTTATATCCATTTTAAAGATTAAGGAATATATGGATACAATCTGCTTCATACCTGTTGTCTGCACATATGCATGCAAACAAAATCCCATAAAAGACAAAGCAAATGCTATCCATGTGAAAAAACACAACTCCATGGAAATAAAATAAATATTTTTATGATAACTAAAAATGAGATACTGTTATAACCCAACTCAGTTATTTTATATATTAGAAAAAGACCATGATGATGAATTCATACACAGTGAAATCCTTAACTCATATGAGTTTTTTCATTTTAGGGCCCTAGGCTTAATTTTCAATTCTTGAGGGATAATGTCCCAGACCAATAGTTAAAATTTAATTACTCATTTTGAGAGATTCCTTGTTGATGTGTTTACTCTTTTCTCCCATTCCTCTGCCCCTGAGTATAGACTTTGTTCATGGTTTAAATGTGGCATGCTATCTTAGTGACCAGGGTATTTTCACCCTTCTGTGTTGCCTGTCATGGTTAGTCATATAAAAATGAGTTTATTCATCACAGGAACAGCAATACCTAAAATACAGGCTTCAGGGACTCTCCACTATCAACAGGAATTTAGAGATGGTTATTATTCTGGAACATTTTCAATTACTCACATAGCAGATTTGAACTCTAGGTTGTCTTTGCTCTGATCATAGCACACTCTGGACCCTTCTCTTACTGCATAACGGCTATACAAAGTTTGTAAGGGAACAACAAGACTTGCACTGAAACTTACTAGCAGTGTGATCCCTAATATGCCATTTCACTTTAATGAGCATCCATTTATTCTTTTTTTTCTTTTCTCTTTCTTCCTTTCTCTTTCTTTTCTTTCTTTATTTTTTCTTTCTTTCTTTTTCACAGTTTTTTATTATTATACTTTAATATTATATTTTAAATACTGGGATACATGTGCAGAACCTGCAGGTTTGTTACATAGGTATACACGTGCCATGGGGGTTTACTGCACCCATCAACCAGTCATCTGCACTAGGTATTATTCCTAATGCTATCCCTCCCCTAGCCCCCCACCTCCTGACAGGCCCCGGTGTGTGATGTTCCCCTCCCTGTGCCAATGTGTTCTCATTGTTCAGCTCCCACTTATGAGTGAGAACATGTGGTATTTGGTTTTCTGTAATTGTATTAGTGTGCTGAAAATGATGGTTTCCAGCTTCATCCATGTCCCTGCAAAGGACATGAACTCATCCTTTTTTATGGCTGCATAGTATTCCATGGTGTATGTGTGCCACATTTTCTTTATCCAGTCTATCATTGATGGGCATTTGGGTTGATTCCAAGTCTTTGCTTTTGTAAACAGCGCTGCAATAAATATTTTTTAGAAAAAAACTATTTCAAATTTCATATGGAACCAAAAAAGAGTGCATATAGCCAAGACAATCCTAAGCAAAATGAACAAAGCTGGAGGCATCGTGCTACCCGACTTCAAACTGTACTACCAGGCTACAGTAACCAAACCAGCATGGTACTGTTGCCAAAACAGATAAATAGATCAATGGAACAGAACAGAGACCTCAGAAATAATGCCACACATCTACAACCATCTGATCTTTGACAAACCTGACAAAGATAAGCAATGGGGAAAGGATTCCCTATTTAATAAATGTTGCGGGGAAAACTGGCTAGCCATATGCAGAAAACTGAATCTGGACCCCTTCCTTACACCTTATACAAAAATTAACTCAAGATGGCATAAAGATTTAAGTGAAAAATCCAAAACATTCAGGACATAGGCATGAGCAAAGACTTCTTTCTTTTCTTTTCTTTTCTTTTCTTTTCTTTTCTTCTCTTCTCTTCTCTTTTCTTTTCTTTCTTTCTTTCTTTCTTTCTTTCTTTCTTTCTTTCTTTCCTTCCTTCCTTCTTTCTTTCTCTTTTCTTCTTCCTCTTTCTTTTTTTACTGAAAAGTATTAATCATGTATATTAATGGAGCGCAATGTGAGGTTTTGATCTATGTGTGCCTGCAGAAATAGTCAATGAAGCCAACTAACATGGGCATCACCTCATTAACTTATCATTTTTTGTGGTGAGAATATTATTCTTTCAGCAATTTTAAAATATACAGTATATTATTATTAACTTCAGTCACTATGTGGTATGTAGATCACTGAAATATTTCTCCAGTACTACTGAAACTTTTTACCCTTTGATCAACACCTTCCCTTCATCTGTGCCTTCTCCTACCCCTCTTAATTTCTGATAACCACTTTTCTACTTTCTTTTTCTATGAGATCAACTATTTTAGATTCCACATATATGAGAAATCATACAGTATTTAGTCTGTTACTGCCTGGCTTATTTCACTTAGTATAATGTCCTCCAGTTCCATCTATGTTGTTTGTGAGTGACAGAATTACCTTTTTATTTAAGGCTGTATAGTATTACATTGTGTATATTTGCCACATTTTCTTTGTCCATTAATCTACTGATAGGCACTTAGGTTGTTTCCAAATCTTAGCTACTGTGAATAATATTGTAATGAACATAAGAGTGCAGATATTTCCTCGACATACTGATTTCAATTCCTTTAGATATATATCCAGAAGTGAAATTGCTGGATCTTATGGTAATTCTATTTTTCATTTTTTGAAGAATCCAACACTTTTTCAAAATGGCTGTGCTAATTTGATTTCCATCAACAGTGTACAAACAATAATTGTTATCATTTGTCTTTTTAAACATAGCCATTCTAAGAAGTGTGAGGTGATATCTCATTGTGATTTTAATGTGCATTTCCTTTACTACTAGAGATATTAAGCATTTCAAAAAAATATATCTCTTAGGCATTCACTTCAAAAAACAAAATTGAAAGAAGGGAATACTTCCAAACTCATTTTATGAGAATTCAATTACCCTAATACCAGACCCAGACAAAAAAATAAAACTGATGGCTGGTATCATTAATGAACATAGATGCAAAAGTCCTCAGTACCAAATTCAGCAGCACATTAAAAAATATCATTTACCATAATCAACTGGGATTTATCCCAGGGTGCAAGGATAGTTCAATATATGTAAGTCAATAAATGTGGTACATCACCAAAAAAAATAATGGGAAAAGCCATAGATGCAAAAAAAAAAAAAAAAAAATAAGTATAGAAGACATGTACCTCAACATTCCGCAACAATAAAGGCTATGTATGACGGGCCCACAAATAACAACACATTCAATGGTGAAAACTTGGGAGTTTTATTCTCTAAGATCTGGAACAAGACAAGGATGTCCACTGTCATAATTTCTATTCAACATAGTACAGAAAGTCCTAGCCAGAGCAATTAGGCTAGAAAAAGAAACAAAATGCACCCATATAGAAAAAGCAGAATTGAAATTGTCTTGGCTTGCTGATGACATAAGCTTATATATGAAAACCGTAACGAATCTACCAAAAACAATTAGAATTGTCAAACAAATTCAGTAAAGTTGCAGGTTAATCAACATACAAAATCCATTAGCATTTCTTTACACTAACAACAAGCTATCTGAAAAGGAAATTAAGAAAATAATACCTTTTATAATAACATCAGAAAAAAAATACTTAGGAGAAAATTTAACCATGGTGGTGAAATATCTGATTACTGAAGCTATGAAATATTGATGAAAAAAATTGAAGAAGACACAAATAAATATAAAGATATCCTATGTTCATGGATTAAAATTCAAACACCATTAAATGTAAACATTACCCAAAACTATCTACAGATTTAATGTAATCTCTGTCAAAATTCTAATGTTATTAGCCACAGAAACTTTTAAAAATCCTAAAGTTTTTATGAAATCAGGAAAGATCAAGAGAGAAAAAATTACCCAAAACAATCTTGAGTAATCTATTGTAATCAAAAGAGCATTGTACTGCCATAAAAATAGACATGTAGACGAAAGGAAGAAGATTAAAGCCTTCAAATAGACTCAAGTATGTACAGCCAATTGATTTTCAACAAAGGTGCCAAGAACACACAATGGGAAAAGGACAGTCTTTTCAATATATAGTGCTGAAAAAACTAGATATCCTCATATGAAGAATAAATTTAGGCCTTGATCTCATACCATATACAAAAATCAACTCAAAATGGATTAAAGACTTAAAATATAAGATCCCAAACTATAAACTACTAAAAGAAAATATTTTTTAAAAAGACCCTCTCCAGCATTGGTCTGGGCAATAATTTCTTCGCTAGGACTTCAAAAGCACAGACAGCAAAACCCAAAATAGATAAATGGATTGGTATCAAACTAAAAGGCTTCTGCACTGCAAAAACAGTAAACGATTTTTTTAATTAAAAATTAATGACATGAAAAGACAGCCCACAGTTTGTGAGAAAATATTTGCAAACCATACATCTGATAAGGGACTAATATCCAAAATATATAAGAAGAATGTGGAGGTGGAGCAAGATGGCTGAATAAAACCCTCCAGTGATCACCCTCCTCTCCCCACAGAAACATCAAATTAAAGTATCCATATGAGAAAGCACCTTTATAAGAATCAAATATAAGATGAGTAATCACAGTACCTGATTTTAACATCAAGTCAAGAAAAGTGACACTGAAGACGATAAGAAAGATAGTCTTGAATTGCCTACACCACCTGTTCCTCGTTCCCCATGCAGTACCGTTAGGCACAGAGAGGAAATCTCCATGTTTGGAGGAAAAGCAAAGTGATTGTGGTACTTTACATTAGAACTCAGTGCTGCCCAGTCACAGAGGAATGCAGCACAGGGCAGGATTCAGCCAATGCCCATAAAGACAGCATTTAGACTAACCCTGGGCAGAGAGGGGAGTCTTTCATTCCAATGCTCAGAATGTGAGTTCCAGCTAGCTCCACCACCGCAGATTAAAGGGCTCTGGGGTTCTAAATAAACTTGAAAGGCAGCCTAGGCCACAAAGACTGTAATTTCTGGGCAAGTCCTGGTGATATGGTGGGCTTGGAACCAGTAGACTTGGGGCACATGCAATTCACTAAGACTCCAGCTAGAACAGCCAAGAGAGTGGTTGCATCACTTTCCCCAACTCCGGGCAGCACAGCTCACAGCACCAGAAGAGACTCCTTCTGCTTGAGAAAAAAGAAAAAAAGAGGAAAGAGTAAAGAGGATTCTGTTTTGCAATTTTCACACCAGCTTAGACAGAGTAAAAGTATCAAAGAGACTCCTGAAGCCCTCATTCCAGGCCCTAGCTCCTGGGAGTCACTTCTAGACCTGTTCTAGGCTAGAAATTAACCCGCTATCCTGAAGGAAAGAACCCAGTCCTGGCATAATTCACTGCCTGATAACAAAAGCATCCTAAGGCCTTGAATAAACATCAGCACTAGCTAGGCGGTAGTTGCCAGGAGCCTTGAATGAGATCAAGTATCATGCTCACTTCAGGTGTGACCCAGTGCATTCCCAGCTGTGGGGGCCACTGGAGTGTTTATATCACCCCTATCCCAACTAGGCAGCTCAGTATGTATACAGAGATTCTCTTTGTTTGGGAGAAAGTAAGAGAAGAGGATAAGAGGCCCTGCCTGGTAATACAGGGAAGTCTGAATCTTACCCAAGACCAGCTTGATAGTACCTCTAAGAGTCTGCAAGAGTCACAGCATTACTGGGCTTAGGGTGTCCATAATGCAGATATGGCTCCAATGACCAAAAATGTAGATTGCCACACTCATTTTTTTTTAATACTTGAAAAGCCTTCTCAATAAGGTTGGATACAAACAGGCCCATTCTGTGAAGACTATAATAAATACCTAGCTCTTCAATTCCCAGATATTGATGAACTTCCACAAACATCAAGACCATCCAGGAAAACATGACCTGAACAAACAAGTTAAATAAGGCATCAATTACCAATCCCAGAGTAACAGAGAGATGTGACTTTTCAGACAGAGAATTCAAAATAGCTGTTTAGATGAAGCTGAATGAAATTCAAGATAATACAAAGAAGGAATTCAGAATTCTATCAGATAAACTTAACAAAGAGGTTGAAATCACTTTACTAAATCAAGCAGAAATTCTGGAGCTGAAAAAATTTAATCAACAAACTAAAGAATGAGTCAGAGTCTCTCAACAGTAGAACTGATCAAGCAGAAGAGTTAGTGAGCTTGAAGACAAGCTATTTGAAAATATACAAAGGAGACAAAAGACACAAAGAATTTAAAAAGTGAAGCACACCTGCAGAATCTAGAAAATAACCTCAAAAGGGAAAATCTAAGAGTTGTTTGCCTTAGGAGGATGTATAGAGATCAGGATAAAAAGTATATTCAAAGAGATAAGAGTAGAAAACTTTCTAAACCTAGAGAAAGATATCAATATTAAAGTACAAGAAGATGATATAACAATGTTGGAAGAGGGGCCTGGTGGGAGGTGATTGAACCCTGGGAGCGGATTTTCCTCTTGCTGTTCTCATAATAGCGAGTGAGTTCTTATGAGATCTGGTTGTTTATAAAAGTGTGTAGCCCTTCCCCCTTCTCTCTCAATTCCTCCTTCTCCAACCATGTAAGATGTGCCTTACCTCCTTCCTCTTCAACTTTGCCATGATTGTACGTTTCCTGAGGCCTCCCTAGCCATGCTTCTTGTACAGCTTCTGGAACTATGAATCAATTAAATCTCTTTTCCTTATAAATTACCCAGTGTCAGGTAGTTCTTTAAAGCAATGCAAGAAAGGGCTAATGCAAAGACTAAAAGATGAACCTATCAAAATAATTACAACCGCCTTTAAAGATATAGACAGAATAAAAAGATACAAATGGAAACAACATAAATTTAAAAAGTAAAGTAGATCTATCTAAAGTGTAGAGTTTTTACTAGTCTTCTCTTTGTTCATTTGTTTGTTTTTGCAATCAAAGTAAAGTTGTAATCAGTTTAAAATAATGGTTTATAAGATGCTATTTGCAAGCATCCTGGTAACTTCAAATCAAAAGCCCTACAACACATGCACACACCTAATATAAAAAAGAAGAAATTAAAATGGAGAAAATCACTTTCACATAAAGGAGGACATGAAGGAAGAAAAGAAAGAAGAGAAGGCCACAAAATGACCAGAAAAAAAAATAATAACAAAATGACAATAGTAAGTCTTTACTAATCAATAATAACACTGAATGTAAATGGGATAACCCCTCCAATCAAAACACGTAAAGTTGCTGAATAGATTAAAAAAACAAGACCAAACAATCTACTGCCTACAAGAAATACACTTCACCTATAAAGACACACATAAACTGAAAAGAAAGGGGTGGAAAAAGATATTCCATTCAAATGGAAATCAAAAAAGAGTAGGAGTAACTAATACCAGACAATATAGATTAAGGGGCAAAAACTATAAAAACAGACAAAGAACCTCATAATATAAAAATAAAGGGGTCAATTTAGCAAGAAGATTTGACCATTTTAAATGTATATGCATACACAGTACTGGAGCACCTAGATATTTAAAGTAACTATTATTAGAGCTAAAGAGAGAGATAGACCCCAATACAATAATAGCTGGAAACTTCAACACTCCACTTTCAGCACTGGACAGATCTTCCAGACAGAAAATAAACAAAGAAACATCAAACTTAATCTGCACTATACGCCAAATGGACCTCACAGATACTTAGAGAAGTATCCAACAGCTGCAGTATACATATTCTCTTCAACACCTGGATCATTCTCAAGAAAGATCAGTTGTTAGGCTACAAAACAAGTATTAAAAATTTCATTTAAAAAAATTATATCAAGTATTTTCTCTGACCACAATAAAATAAAGCTAGATATAACAAAAAGAGAAATTTTGGAAAATAGACAAACACATGGAAAATTAAACAATATGCTTCTAAATGAACAGTGAGGAAATAAATTAATAAGGAAATGTTAAAATGTCTTGAAACAAATTAAAATGGTAACAACATACTAAAACCTGTGGAATACAGCAAAAGCAGTTCCAAGAGGAAAGTTTATAGCAATAAGCACCTACATTGAAAAAGTAGAAAACCTTCAAATAAACAACCTAATGATGCATCTTAAAGAACTCGAAAAATGAGAGCAAACCAAATCCAAAATCAGTGGAAGAAAAAAAGGTCGGAGTAAAAATAAATGAACTTGAAACAAAAAAAATGCAAAAATCAATGCAATAAAAAATTGTTTTTTTGAAAAAATAAGCAAAATCAACAAAACTTTAGCCAGACTAAGAAAAAAAAAAGAGAGACTACCTAGATAAATGAAATCAGAGATGAAAATGGAAACATTAAAACTGATACCACAGAAATTCAAAATATCATTAGAGACCAATATGAACAGCTACGTGCCAACAAAGTGGAAAACCTAGAAGAAATAGATAAATTCATAGATACATACAACTTACCACGATTGAACCATGAAGACATCCAAAACCTGAATAGACCAATAGCAAGTCATGAGACCAAAGCAATAATAAAAAGTCTCCCAGCAAAGAAAAGCCAAGGACCCAATGGCTTTACTGCTGAATTTTTACAAATATTTAAAGAATAATTAATACCAAATCTACTCCGATTATTCTAAAAAATAGAAGAGGAGGAATTACTTCCAAATTCATTTATGAGGCCAGTATAACCCTGACAAAGACAGGATCAGACAAATTGGAATTGAAAAAGTCAAATTATTTTTGTTTGTGCTGATCAGATCTTATATTTGGAAAAACCTAAAAACACTGCCAAAACAAAAATAAAAACAGACAAAGACACATCAAAAAAAGAAAACTCCAAATCAATATCTCTGAAGAACAGTGGTGCAAAACTTCTCAACAAAATACTAGCAAACTGAATTCAACAACGCATTAAAAAGGTCATTCATCATGACAGAGTGGGATTCATCTCAGGGATGCAAGAATGGTTTGAAAAATGCAAATCAACCAGTGTGCTACATCATATCAACAGAATTAAGGACAAAAGTCATACAATCATTTCAACTGATGCTGAAAAGGCATTTGATAAAATTCAACATCCTTAGAAGAAAACCTAGGCATTACCATTCAGGACATAGGCATGGGCAAGGACTTCATGTCTAAAACACAAAAAGCAATGGCAACAAAAGACAAAATTGACAAATGGGATCTAATTAAACTAAAGAGCTTCTGCACAGCAAAAGAAACTACCATCAGAGTGAACAGGCAACCTACAAAATGGGAGAAAATTTTTGCAACCTACTCATCTGACAAAGGGCTAATATCCAGAATCTACAATGAACTCAAACAAATTTACAAGAAAAAAACAAACAACCCCATCAACAAGTGGGCGAAGGACATGAACAGACACTTCTCAAAAGAAGATATCTATGCAGCCAAAAAACACATGAAAAAATGCTCATCATCACTGGCCATCAGAGAAATGCAAATCAAAACCACAGTGAGATACCATCTCACACCAGCTAGAATGGCAATCATTAAAAAGTCAGGAAACAACAAGTGCTGGAGAGGATGTGGAGAAATAGGAACACTTTTACACTGTTGGTGGGACTGTAAACTAGTTCAACCATTGTGGAAGACAGTGTGGCGATTCCTCAGGGATCTAGAACTAGAAATACCATTTGACTCAGCCATCCCATTGCTGGGTGTATACCCAAAGGAATATAAATCATGCTGCTATAAAGACACATGCACACGTATGTTTATTGTGGCACTATTCACAATAGCAAAGACTTGGAACCAACCCAAATGCCCATCAATGATAGACTGGATTAAGGAAATGTGGCACATATACACCATGGAATACTATGCAGCCATAAAAAAGGATGAGTTCGTGGCCTTTGTAGGGACATGGACGAAGCTGGAAAACCGTCATTCTCAGCAAACTATCACAAGGACAAAAAACCAAAGACCACATGTTCTCACTCGTAGATGGGAACTGAACATTGAGAACACATGGACACAGGAAAGGGAACATCACACACTGGGGCCTGTTGTGGGGTGGGGGGAGTGGGGAGGGATAGCATTAGGAGACATACCTAACGTAAATGACAAGTTAATGGGTGCAGCACACCAACATGGCACATGTATACATATGTAACAAACCTGCATGTTGTGCACATGTACCCTAGAACTTAAAGTATAATATATATATAAAGAAAAGCACTTGAAGCTTTCTCACATTAAAATGTACACTCTCTAGGTCATGGTCAGCCCAAGGGCTAGGTTCCTTGAACCAGTGTGGTTCCTAAGGTAATATGATCCCATCGTGAGCAAAGCTTGACCATTTTTATGCTTGTAGACATTACTTAGTACCTAAGGGCCATGAATGAAACCCAGCCTTTGGTATTAATTGCCCCAAACAAGTCCTGTTTGTCAAGGAAGTCACTCAGGCAACAATTATTTATTGAAGGCCTACTATGTGTTAGGCATTCTTCTAGGTGCTGAGGTTTAAGCAGTGGCAAAAAGAGCAGAAATTAATATTGAACTAATAGGCAATAAACTAGCAAAAAATAAAATAGTTACTTATAAATTTCAAGAACAAAATGAAATTGGTTATAATAAACAGGCCTAACTCAGGAAAAGGGGTTGCTTTGGCTTGAGTGGTCAGAAAGGAATCTGTAAGTAGATGATGTTTGGGTTGATACCCAAATAATAAGCAGCTAAGTGGTGAATATTGGGGAAAGCAGTCCCTAGTGCAAAACTCAGATATGAACAGTAGGCAGAGAAAGGCCCATAAAACAGTAGTGTGGCTAGAAAATGAAGGAGAGAAAGAAAAACAATAAAAGGAAAATTAGATGATTTTTTAATGCTAAAAGAGAAACAAGACTTTTTCAACATTACACTAAAAATCTCAGCTAATTCAATAAAACAAAAAAGAGAACTAAAACGTTTACTGATTGGGAAGGAAGAAATGAAAGTGTCTGTTTTCAGATGACACGATTATCTGTGTAGGAAATAGGAAATTGTTCACAAACTAATAAGTTTGTGCTGGAAGTAATAGGTGATTAGAATTCAATTGAAGTATATTAAGTTAATAAATAGTCAATCACTTTGCTATGTAACAGCAATGAATGAATAAGTGGAATTTGAAATCAAAAACTCAAAATATTGTACATTAATACTCACAATAAATGAAAAAGGTATGACTCCTATAAAGTATCTATAAGATCTATATGAGGAAAAATGACAAAACTCTGATCAGTCAAAGGATTGTCTATTCATGTCTTTTGCACACTTTTTGATGAGATTATTTTTTCTTTACTAATTTATTTGAATTCCTTGTAGATTCTGGATATTAGTCCTTTGTCAGATGTACAAATGGCCAACAAAAATATGAAAAAATGCCCAACATCACTAATGATCATGGAAATGCCAATCAAAACCACAATGTGCTACCACCTTACTCCTGCAAGAATAGCCATAATAAAAAAATAATAGATGTCGACATGAATGGGTGAAAAGGGAACACGACTACACTGCTGGTGGGAATATAAACTAGTGCCGTCACTATGAAAAACAGTGTGGAGATTCCTTAAAGAACTAAAAGTAGAACTACCATTTGATCCAGCAATCCCACTACTGGGTATCTAACCAGAGGAAAAGAAGTCATTATATGAAAAAGATACTTGCACACATATGTTTATAGCAGCACAATTCACGATTGCAAAAATATGGAACCAGCCCAAATGCCCATCAATCAATGAGTGGACAAAGATATTGTGATATATATAAAGAATATATGTATAAGGAAATTGTGATATATATAATGGAATACTACTCATCCATAAAAAGGAATGAAATAATGGCATTTGCAGCAACCTGGATGGAACTGGAGACTATTATTATAAGTGAAGTAACTCAGAAATGGAAAACCAAACATTGTATGTTCTCACTTATAAGTGGGAGCTAAGCTATGAGGATATAAAGGCATAAGAATGATATGATGGACTTTGGCGACGGGGTAAAGGATAGAAGTGAGGGGACAGATAAAAGAGTACAAATTGGGTTCAGTGTGCACTGCTCAGGTGATGGGTGCACTAAAATCTCACAAATCACCACTAAAGAACTTAGTCATGTAACCAAATACCACCTGTTGCCCGAAAACCTATGGAAATAAAAAATTAAAGTAAAATAAAGCAAAATAAAATAAGCCACACTGCAAAAAAAAAATCAAAAGAAACCTACATAAATGTAGAAATATTCCATGTTGATAGGTAGACTCAATATTATTAACATGTCAGTTCCTCCCAAATTTATCCATACATACAATGCAATCCCAATCAAAGTTACAGCAGGTTATTTTGTGGATATCAGCAAACAATTCTAAAGTTTATTTGGAGAAGCAAAGGACCAAAATAGCCAACACAATATTGAAGGAAAATAGCAAAGTTGGAGACTGGCATATCTGTGTTTAAGTCTCACTGTAAAGCTATAGTAATCAATGGAGTGTGAAGAATAGACAAAGAGATCAATGAGACAGACTAGAGATTCCAGAAATACACCATATTAAATATAGTCAACTGCAAGCTGTTGAGGGGTCTCATGCCTGCAATCCCAACTACTCAAGAACCTGAGGCTGGAGGTTCTTGCTGGAGTAATTGCTGTTATTACAGCCATTACCAGGAAGTCAAACCCAGCCTGAGCAACAGATGAGATTCTCACCTCTAAAAGAAGAAGAAGAAGAAGGAGGAGGAGGGGTAGGAGGGGGAAGGAAGAAGGGAAGAAGAAATGTGAACGTCGCTATTGTCCCAGTTACTCGTGAACCTAAGGTGGAAGATCACTTGAGCCCAAGAGCCCAGGAGTTCAAGGCTGCTGGGAGGTATGATCACTCCAGGATGAGACACCATCCCTAATATTTTATATATCATATATGTATATATATATATATTTATATTTATATACACACACACGTGTATGTGTGTGTGTGTGTGTGTGTGTGTTCAACTGATATTTGTCAAAAGAATAAAGATAATACAGTGCAAGAAAGATAGACTTTCAACAAATGGTGCTGGAACAACCAGGCATCCATGTAAAAAAATGAATTTAGACACAGATCTTACACCCTTCACAAAATTAACTCATAATGGATCAGAGACCTAAATGTAAAATGCAAAACTATTAAATTCATAAAAGATAACATACAAAAAACCTAAATGACATAGAGTTTGGCAATGACTTTATGAATGACACTAAATACACAATCTATGAAAGAATTAATAACCTAGATCTCATTAAAATTAAAAATTTCTGCACTGCAAAATATGATGTGAAAATCATGTAAAGACAAGCCACATGCTGGGAGAAAATACTTGTAAAAGGTATATCTCATAAAGGACTGTGACATACAATGAAGTCTTAAAATTTAACAATACGAAAACAATCTGATTTACAAATAAGCTAATGATTTTAACAGACACCGCACCAAAAATACAGACAGATTTCAAATAAGCATATAAAGAGAAGGTTCAAATCATATGTCATCAGGGAAATGCTAATTAAAACTGGAAAGATACCAGTACACACTAATTTGAATGGCCAAAATCTAGAACACTGACTACATCAAATGCTGGTGAGGATTTGGAGAAACGGGAACTTTCATTCAATGTTAGTGGGAATGCAAAATGATACAATCACTGTGGAAGACAGTTAGGCAATTTTTTACAAAACTAAACTTACTCTTACCACACAATTCAACAGTCAAACTCCTTGGTATTTATCCAAAGGAGCTGAAAACTTATGTTCACATAAACTGAACATGAATGTTTATAGTAGCTTTATATATAATTGCAAAACCTTGGAAACCACCAAGATGTCCTTTTGTAGGTTAATGAATAAACAAATGGTGATACATCCATATAATGAAATATTATTCAGCACTAAAAAGAAATAAGCTATCAAGCAATTAAAAGATATGGAGGGAACCTAAATGTATGTTACTAAGAGAAAGAAGCCAATCTGAAATAGCTATGTGCTGTATGATTTTAACTATATGACATTCTGGAAAAGGTAACTGTAAAAACACAGTAAAAAAAAAAAAAAAAAAGTCTGTGGTTTCCAGGGGTTAGAGGAAACATATGCATAGGCAAAATACAGAGGACTTTCAAGATAATCAAAAAACTCTGAATAATAACATAGTGATGAAGAGAGGACTTTTAAGATAATCAAAAAATCTCTGAATAATGACAGAGTGATGAACAGATGTCATTATACATTTGTCCAAACCCACACAGTATGCAACACCAAGAGTGAAAGCTAACATAAACTGTGACCTTGGGTGATAATGGTGTGTCAATGTAGGTTGATCAATTTTAAATAAATGTAACACTCTGGTGGGGGATGTTTGTAAAGGGGAATGTGACAGTCCTTTATGAGATATGCCTTTTATAACCACTTTGGCAACCACTGATGTCCACAGTCTTTTATGTGATATGCTTTTGACAAATATTTTCTCCCAGTATGTGGCTTGTCTTTCATTGCTTTCATTTATAAAGGCATGTGTCGGAGCAAGGGGCATACAGGAAATCTCTATACTTTCCTTTCATTTTTTCCTGGAACTGAATTCTGCTCTAAAAAAATAAAATCTTTTAAAAATGAAATAACTTTACATGCCAATGAAAATGACTAAAATTAAAAAGACAAAAAAAAACCTAAGTTGTTTTGGTAAGGATCTAGAACAACTAGAAGTCATGTATGTTGTTGATGCTCTCATCAGTAAAAATTACTGCAATTACTCCAGCAAATTATTTGTCAGTATTACTAAAGTTGAGTGACCCAGCCATTCTATTACTAAATATACACACAACAGAAAGGCAGCAAAATACAAGTACCAGAATGCACGCAGTTTTCATAACAGTTCCCAACTAAAAATCTCCTCAAATAACCATCAAAAATAGAATAGATAAGTACATTGTGGTATTTCCAAACAAGAAATACTAAACAATAAGTATGAATAAATAATGATAGCATACAAGACTACAAAGGAATTTCACAAATATGATCTTGCATTAAAGAAAAAGAAAGTATATAGTGTTTGATTTCCTTAGATAAAATTTAAAAACAGATAAGACTAATTTTTTCCTTAGATAAAATTTAAAAACAGATAAGATAAAATTTAAAAACAGTTAAGATAATGATTTGGTGGGGGGATGGGAAGTTACTAGAAAGTGGGATTGATATGGCTTTAAGGATGGAGTAATGTTTTATTTTATCTATGAGTATGTCATAAGGATGTGTTTAATTTGTGCAAGTTCATTGAACTATATGCTTTTCTTAGTTCATTTAGTTCGCTTCATATAAGTATACAAACACATATATATATTTTTTTTTACAAAAAGAAAGGTATGCAAGGAATAAATTATGCAGAGCCTTCCAGACCAGTAATCCTCAAATTTTAATATGCATATGAATAACATAAGTTTCCTGTTTAAATACAAATTCTAATTCAGTAGTTCTGGGGTAGGCCTGAGAGTCTTCCTTTCAAACAGGATACCACCTGATACTCATGATTCTGGCTTTTGAATTACACTTTGAGTAGCACAAATTGAGATCACAGTAAGAAGTTTGGTTTTTATTCTAACTATATATGAGGATTTAGAAAAAATAAACTATGACCTAATTTGTGATCTAAAGTCGCTGTGGCTGTCATGAGGAAAACAGACTTTAGAGAACACAAAAATAGAACAATGGTACCATTAGGTAGGAAGAGTTGGTGGTGACTCTGCTTAGAATTGTCTTCAAAAAGATGGCTAAATTGGACTTCCGGCGCACTGATCCCGGCTGGGGCCGGCTGAGTGGCACTTAAGCGGGCCATGCCATGCAACCCTGGGCGCTGCCAACCGTGGGCGAGCTCTGGGTGTGCGGGCGGCCTGGCGCGGCGCTCCGCTGTGTCAGCGTGTTATGATGCCGTCCCATACCAACCTGGCTACTGGAATCCCCAGTAGTAAAGTGAAATATTCAAGGCTCTCCAGCACAGACGATGGCTACATTGACCTTCAGTTTAAGAAAACCCCTCTAAGATCCCTTATAAGGCCATCTCACTTGCCACTGTGCTGTTTTTGATTGGCACCTTTCTCATTATTATAGGCTCCCTCATGCTGTCAGGCTACATCAGCAAAGGCGGGGCAGACCGGGCCGTTCCAGTCCTGATCATTGGCATTCTGGTATTCCTACCCGTATTTTACCACCTGCGCATCCCTTACTATGCATCCAAAGGCTACCGTGGTTACTCCTATGATGACATTCCAGACTTTGATGACTAGCACCCACCCCATAGCTGAGGAGAAGAGTCACAGTGGAACTGTCCCAGCTTTAAGATATCTAGCAGAAACTATAGCTGAGGACTAAGGAATTCTGCAGCTTGCAGATGTTTAAGAAAATAATAGCCAGATTTTTTGGGTCCTTCCCAAAGATGTTAAGTGAACCTACAGTTAGCTAATTAGGACATGCTCTGTTTTTCATCCCTTGGCCCTGACAAGTTTTTCCGCAGGAATATGTATCATGGTAGAATAGAGGTTATTCTGTAATGGAAAAGTGTTGCCTGCCACCACCCTCTGCAGAGCTGAGCATTTCTTTTAAATAGTCTTCATTGCCAATTTGTTCTTGTAGCAAATGGAAGAATGTAGTATGGCTAATTTCTTATTATTAAGTAATTTATTTTAAAAATATCAGAGTATATTATCCTGTACACTTATCTCTACCTTCATGTTCCAGTGGAAGACCTTAGTAAAATCAAAGATCAGTGAGTTCATCTGTAATATTTTTTTACTTGCTTTCTTACTGACAGCAACCAGGAATTTTTTTATCCTGCAGAGCAAGTTTTCAAAATGTAAATACTTTCTGTGTTTAACAGCCCTTGGCCCATTCTGATCCAGTTCACCAGTAGGTTGGACAGCATATAATTTGCATCATTTTGTCCCTTGTAAATCAAGATGTTCTGCAGATTATTCCTTTAACGGCCGGACTTTTGGCTATTTCCTAATGAAACATGTACATTAGTGGTTATTATTTAGAGTTTATAGCCCTA
This sequence comes from Homo sapiens, assembly GCF_000001405.40. Classification (NCBI taxonomy): domain Eukaryota; kingdom Metazoa; phylum Chordata; class Mammalia; order Primates; family Hominidae; genus Homo; species Homo sapiens. The sequence continues at coordinate 56,691,487 of NC_000011.10, forward strand.
TTGCTAGCACCTTGTAGTATGTCATCATTCTGCTCATGATTCCAAGGATCAGCCTGGATGCCTAGAGGACTAGATCGCCTTAGTTTGATTCTATTTTTTAGCTTGCAAAAAGTGACTTATATTCCAAAGAAATTAAAATGTTGAAATCCAAATCCTAGAAATAAAATGAGTTAACTTCAAAAAAAAAAAAAAAAAAAAAAGATGGCTAAATTGGAAGAAGGAAAAGGAAACCAATCTTCCATGCCCTCCAGCTTTGTTCCCATGGCTAATTTGTCATGGGCATACTATTTAGGTATAGGGATATGGAGAAGGAAAGAGACTTACCAGCTACCTCAGTGTGTGTCTTCTAGTCCATCTCATTACTGAATTTCTTTTTTCTGCAATTGATGTCCTTTAGTGAACATTTACAATGGAATCATAAATATCTTCACACTGTCCTTCACTAGAGTTTCATCTCTATACCTACCCCAGACTATTTTTCTAGTTTATTCTGTTTCTGCTCAGTGAGACAACTCACTGGTTACTGCTATGAAACAGGGTGGAGACACCAGACCAAAATCTTTCCATGCTAAAAGAAGACAATCCTATGTGCTTCTTAATATTATGCATGTGCATGCCTTGGACATAGGTTTGTACCCCCAATATTATTGCCCCCCTAAAAGAATAGGGAATTCTTAGAAGATAGCTGAATCTACATTTCCAAGTAAGAAAATAAATAACATGTGCTTCCCACATTCTGTTGTGTCTAGAAAACATCAAAGCCTCTACAAATGATAAGGGCAGAGACTAAAGGAGTCAACTTATGGAATTTTTCCTGGTGAAGCTGTGACATTCTGAGTGCCAAAGAAATCATGATAATAACAAAATAATATGCATTTCTAATTGCAGTATATTGAAACAATGAAAGACAAGGATTCAAGGATATTCAACAAAAACAAAAAAGTACCATAAAGAATATAAGAAAGTACTGATAAAACAAAAGAGGATAAATATAACAGATTGTTTCATGTTGATTGGATTTTAAATGTAAGATAGTGACATGATTAAATATATATGCAGGATATACAAATATATAGAAATCCAAATAAATATATACCCATATTTTATTGACATGAGCAGTAAGTAATAAATGTAAAGAACTGTGTTTTCCAAATAGTCTCAGCAAAATTAGGAGTTCTACAAAGAATAGGAGGTAATTATCATCATTGATAAATACTAATAACAATAACAGTTATCACAAAACATAACAAAGTTAATTTTACACCTGTACATATGCTGAGAACATCACCTACATTAACTCCTCCACATATTTCCTTGTTACCAATTTTCCAGTATTCTTTTTTTCTCTAAGTACATGATCAAGACACCAATTTCTTCACAACTTCCCTTAATGTTCCATAAGCTATGGAAACAAAGTCCCCCCAAACTATTTAATCACAAAGAACAAAAGATCAATAGATCCAAATGAAAGAAAGTAAAGGCATGCTATTTTCTCCAATATGTCAAGACCAAAAGCTTCTGGCTATTTTTGATAGAAACTAAAGAGAAATTCTAACAGACTTGTATATTAAGATCCTCCAGGAACTTGAGAGGAAAAAAATCTGAGTTTTATGTGGGTGCACTGTGTTGATACATTTGGCTTTATTAATTTTTACATTTTATTCTCCTTGGTTTACTGCCTTAGAGTCCAATCTCACACATATTTTCTAGACTCCTGCTAATATAATTTGGTAAGATTCCATAACTCTTTTAGTATATATTTTCCATAAGAGCAATTCTCAAATTCCTTTATTTGTGGTAGTAATATTTAGGCTTCACTACAAAAACAATTTGGAGGGATACAATTAAGTGCTAAAGAGAATTTATTCACTTATGAGGCAACTCTCTAAGTGCAGTCTTCGGGAGACTTTTGTCCAAGGGTAAGCTGGGTTCTTCCGAAGCCGAAGAGGAAGTTAGAGATTCTCTCTACATGCAAGGATTTGTTGTTGTTGTTGTTGTTGTTAGCTCTCCCCTTGGCTGCTTAATGTCCTTATTCCATATAGTCCCAATTCCTCTCTCCATCCATATTTTTAGTGTATCATGCAACCTCTGGAAATGTTTAGCTTTTAATTGATATTGCCTCGTTCTGTTTAATTGCTTTATTTGCCACTTTCTCAAGCTATAAAACCATGAGGAAGTCCATGACTATAAACACTTGGGATCTAATCATCTTTATAAAAGATTCTGAAACTAGCTGATTTTAATGTTAGAATATGGGAATGAGGTGTTTGCTGCAAATTTTGGCCAATTGTATGAGTCAGTTATTGCCAGTGACATAGAAATATTGCTTTAGTCTTTAGTCCCACAATAACTCAACATCCATTTACATTCTGTTATGTTACAGGAACCACAAAGCCTCGTTTTCATACCTCACCATTATTCTATGGCAACTTCTGAAACTGCTGAGAGTGAAAAGATAGATTTAACTGCATCTACTATTTGTGGTGAAAGGGGCAATTTGTGTTAAATGAACGGGTGGAAAATAAAACCATACAATTAAAACAATAAGTGAACAAAACAAACTACAAAACATGCTCTTCTTGAACTGGCATCCTAGTGGATGGGGATAGATAGCAAATAAGATAAATAAGTCAACTACACAGTGAGCCAAAGAGTAAGTGCTCTGGAGAATAATAAGCAGGGAAGGAGGCTAGAGGGTGCTGAGGGTGTGAAAGGAGGCACAATTTTAACAGGGATGGTTGGGGAAGACCACAGGGAGAAGGCTACATATTCTTGAGCAACTGAAAGGGATGAAAAAAATTCTAGGCAGGATGACTTGCTGGCCTGCAGATGGTCACCTCTTTACTGTGTCCTCACATGGCAGAGAAAGAAAGAGGTTTCTCTCTCTTCCTCTTCTTACAAGCCCATCAATCCTATAGGATTGGGATCCCATCTTATGACCTCATTTAACTCAATTTTCCCCTAAAAACCCTATCTCCAAATGAAGTCACACTGGGGAGCCTTAAAATGTGAATTTTGGAGGGACACAATTTAGTCCATAACAGCTATCTACCTCATCATTGTTATAAAGAGTGAAAATGATATGTCTAAAGTAGCTAGTACAGTGCCTTGCTTAGGACATATATTTCTTCTTTTTCCTCTTTCTCTATCTCCAATTCATTATGAGTAATTTTGTTATTAGGAAATAAGCCTAACCTGATTCCGTGAATAACTGTGTGGCCTAATCAGGTTTTCCAGAATGATCTAAGCCATGAAATTTTCAAGCACTTCTGATACAGAGGGTGAGCTCAGTGACAATATTAACGTTTTCAGGATCTATGGTCTAGGAGTCCATTATAGAACTATGGTGTTAGAGGTGAGTGTTCTGATCTGGAGAAGGGGTAGAGTGGAGTGTTTATACATCCATTATGGAGGCTGGCTGTGCATGCATTGATCTGTTTAGTGCTAGTTGCCCCCCAGTCCTACTGCACTATTTGCCATACCACCTGAAGTTTCAAGCTATTTAACACTGATGAAGTATAAGCCATTATCTCTGATTTGATATGTACCTGAGATTTAATTAGGTATGGTAGGTGACAGACATGGAGACAACTGCCTTTAAAAGAAATGTAGAAATGTTTATTACTAATAGTTCCCTCCCATCCCACACACACAGGGCCATATGATGCGAGACCACGTGGGTAAACACCAGGTTTGGTCAGGAGGCAAAAGAGCCCAAAGCCCTTGTTGGGGCTTCTGTGTGGAGGAATGGGCAAGGCAGGGTAGGTAAGTTTGAGCAAGTTTTGAATTGAATAATTTGAATACTTTCCACATGCTCTGGACTATAGGGGTGGTTTCTAGTTGTGAGGTACCTGGCCCTGGAGTGATTTAGGGCAGAAGAAATATTGGCTTTGTGTATGTGTGAGTAAGATAAAGGAGGTGAAGGGCACATGGGCTTTGGATTGACTGGTTTGCATATCAGAAGCATTCACTGGGACATGCTGATTTTTATATCTAAGAATTAGCTGGCTCCAGGAGGAGCAGTCTTGAGGATTAGTAAGGCCCCCAAGATGTTAAAGTATCATAAAATACAGAAAATTTTAAAAATAACATGATTAATACCATCTCCAACAATATTCTGAGTATAGCCTAAAAAATTATTCATGATCTCATCTAACCTCATTCCTATTGTTTCCTTCAATACACTCGGTACACCAGGCAGCTCTGACAAATTTCCAACCATTCCTCCACCCTACACTCCACTGACTGCTTCTGCACCTTGAAAGTTGTGGTTTCTTTTGCCAGAATGCCTTCCTACCACATGGGGCAGATGTCTTTTTTCTATAAAAGGGATAAACTTGACATACAAAGTTATTGTGTATCATGTGCCTTCCTGAAGTCTACAGACACTTATTTTCCTGCTCCACCAAATAACCCTCTCAAAGCAGTGAGATTAGTCTGATAGGAATTGTTTTTGGTGAGCCAATGAAAGTTACTAGAGTCAGAGATCTTCTTTTTTTTTAATAGAAAAAAAATGGGGAAAGAGCTCACACATTTTTCAAGCATAGAGGCATGTTTTCTCCTCCTATGTAAAACCTCTCATAGCACACAAAATGCTGATCTTGCCACTCCCAGCAGGGTCTCCACTCTGGCCTGCTTCCCACCATCTGGTATGAAAATTTTCTCAAGACCTATTGCAGTAGCTGTTTTCAAAAAAATTTCATTTCTCCCGATAAACTACCTCCTCCTTGGGACTAGAACCCATGCTTTAGTCTTATCTCTTGTCCCCAGTGCCTTTCAGAGTATCTAGAACACAGTAATTCTAGAAAGATATGCAGTTCTTGGGACAAGTGATGAGCATTAGAAAGACTGGTTTTGAATCATGGCTCTGCCACTTTTAATATTATGCCCTTGAACAATGTATGTACAATCATTTTTATGTCTCAGGTAACTCATCTGTAAAATAAGAACCATAATTACAAGATTATTTTGAAGTCTAAATGAGATGACACTTAAATCACTTAGCAGGGTATCTGGCACATAATACATGCTCAATAAATATTACTATGGGGAAAGCTGACAAGTTGTTTTAGCCAGTGTGACACCTTGGTTAAAATTGCCACATTAACCAAAGTTGTCACATTAGCTAATATGATAATTTTCTTGTCACTTCAAAATTAAGTAATGAGTCGAGAACTGAGAATGCATATGTTTCTTGCAAAATATACCTCTCTGGACACTCAGGATAAGTAAAATCCATTTGTAAAGGCATGTAGTAATAAGTAAATTGATAATCAAAGATTATGCTTCTCTAAAGCGCCATTGGTGTAGGGGAAAAACCATGAATTCTATAATGAGATTGCCTTGGGTTCAAATCCTAATTTCACTTACTTCTGAATTTACTTTGGGCAAGTTAATGCTGGTCTAGATATATTTTCTTGTCTGGAATATGAACTGTAATACGTACTTCAAAGAATTATTTAACAAAGAAAATTCCCAGGGGGGCATTTTGCAAAGAATAGATTCCCAATATATAACAGTTATTATCATTATTTTTAAATCATTTCCTTCTTCTGCACTGAGCAACAAAATAAAGTAAGCCACTTTTTTTTTTATTAATTGCCTTTTCAGAGACCTTCAAAACTATCAACTCCTGAGGTGTTTAAGGAATCAAATACACTGGGAACCCTGAACAGGTATAAATCACCTGGATCCACCATGTGATCCTCTGTTGTTTGTGACTGTGACAGTTGCAGATAAGTGTTCTGGTACTGAGTGGAAATAACACAATGCTTCTGTACTCATATTCAAGGTTGGCTGTAAATATAAGAGACATAGCAAACAATTGAGCCAGTGCTTGGAAACATTTATTGACCTCACATATATAAAGTACTTACTAGTGACAAAATGTGAATCTCTCAGCATTATCCTACTGGTTTGGGGTTAGGTGTTATAACCAAAAAGAGGGGGACCCATGGAGCCCAACAGCAACTGCTAACCTAACATCAAGTATGAAAGAAGGTGGCTTACTGTTAAGTATTACATCCTCTGAGAAAGACAACACCACTTACCAATTGTGTAATAACTAGCTACTTATTAAACCTCAATTTGGTCTTGTGTAAAATTATTGCTGTTAATCTTGAAACATAGCTATGATGGGTGTTGCGAGGAATAAATAAATATAACATGTGAAACACTAAGCACAGTACTAGATTTAGAGTGAAGTGTTCTTAAATGATAGTTATTGCTTTTATAAATGATCCAATCCCCGAATCATCATTAGAGAGAATATTAGAATCAGAAGATGTTGAGTCCAGCAGTTTTCAAATTTTTTCTTCAAGAAACCCCTTGGAGTTCCCTTGGTTCCATGTTTTCAAAGATGTTGCCTCATCCAAAAAATTGTTCTAATTTTGTATGAAGTAATCAATTTAAGACAAACAGCCCATATGGCCACAGAATGAAACTACAAATCAAAATGATTTAACATTAAAATGATACATGTTTTCCAACAAATGCAGATGGAAAAAGAGCATTTTCTAATGAAGGGAAAATAACAGAAGTTAAACTAATGAGACGTAATATAAGATAACAAGCAGAGCTACAAGACAACAGTGAAGTAGGAAAGGGACATAAGAATTTCAGGGAAGTAGGTTGCAATATGGTGATCAGGGAACAACTTTAGAAGCCGTTAAGAACTGAGAAATGTGAGGGAACTGGCTATAAAGACTCCTAAGGGGAAGAGCATTGCAACAACAGCGTGGAGTGAAGGCAAGGCATTGCTCATACCATGGTATTCTAGAAACTGAATTATAGAATCATACTATGTTATTCTAGAAACTGAATTCTAGATCATACCATGTTATTCTAGAAACCCTTTGGAATGGATTGAACAAAGAGGAAAAGAGTAGGAGACACAAGCAAGTGAGTAAAGAGGGCAAAAGCACAAAGATCTTGCACATCTTTGTAAGAGTCTAACTTTTACTCTGAATAAGTGGAAAAGTCATTGGATGGAGTTCTTAGAAGAGAAAACTAACATGATCTAACTGGCATTTTAACAGGACCATTTTGGCTGCCATGTGGAAAGACTCAAGTGGGATAAGAATAAAAGCAGGAAGACCAATTAGAGGCCAATCATGGCCCCATGTAGAGTGAAAACACTGGAGCTGGGAGAAACTAGTCATGTTCTAGATGCATTTTGAAGGTAGAATCTAGGAGATGTTGCTAATTAATAAGCGACAGAGTGTAAGAAAGAGAGTGGTCAAGAATAATATAAAACGACTCTCCCTAACATGGAATAATGCCATTTACTGCAGTGGAGAAGACTGAATGAGGATCAGGTTAGGGAGGATTGTTAGTAAAATTTTTTTCTTAATGATAACACTTAAGCAAATAATATAGCTCTTAGAATACAATGATAAAACAGTATTCCCTGTGAACTCAATTTTCTTAAGATGCCCAGGAGACATTAGGGAAGAAATATTAATTGGGCATTGGAATCCATGAGTCTCACTTCAGGGAGGAGGCATAGTCAGGGGAGGTAACATTGGAGTCATGTGCATATGGAAGCATTTAAAGTCATCAGATTGGATGAGATTACCAGAAACTGATGGCAGATGGAGAAGACCAGTGGTTCAAGCGCTGATTCTGGGGACACTCCAAAGTTCAAAAGTCTGTTCTGTAGCACTGAGACACATGCAGCAAGAGAAGTAGAAGCAAACCAGACAGGTATGACAACCTGAAAACCAAGTAAAGATTTTCCAGCAGAGAAGGAGTGAGAAACTATGACAAACGCTGCAGGTAGATCTAATCAGAAGAGAACTTCATCATTCGGTTTAATCATGTGAGATCATTGCAACTTGAATGGAGTAGAGGTAGCAAAAGCTCAAGTGGAACAATCTTATATTGTTCTATATTTACTCAGAAATAACACTGTTTACTAACATTGATGTTTATTAATGCTAATATTGAGAGTTGAGTGTGAACTGAGTGTTTTTCCTAGGTCCCAAGAGGAAGATCATACAAATACAAATCATGTACACTTGAATTTTAACTTATTTACCTACAAAATGACTTAGGTTAATGAGAAGTTAGTCTGTCAAGAATTGTCTTTACAGTGTAAGACAGATGTATGCTAGATATATTTTGCTCTACCCATTTCAATAGAACATTTGTAGTTCTATATGAAGAGAATCCTGAAGAGAGTGGGTAGATTTTCAAGTCATCATAAGAAATACTGTAGTATACATAAATTACATTTAAAACTGGTGTTTCAATTATTGTTATTATTGTGTTTATTATAGAATATGTGTAAAATATAGTAAATACTGTGTACTTCGTAATTTCATCATTGTATATCATTCTTCTGTACACATTTTCCCCAAAACATTGTATCTATTCTCTTTTCCCTTTATACTTTTCTTAGTATTTTCTTAGGCCTATATATAATATTATGAGATATGAATTTATAATGCTTTCATAATGTTTCAATGCATAGAAACTAGAGGAAAAATACTTTATTCTTTTTAAACTATATTTAAAAGAGGGATGCCCAGTATTTTAAAGACAAACAAGTGATACTTAAAAATAGAAATGTACACATTTAGCAAAAGAGAAAATTGACAAAAGGAAGAGGATCAAAGTATAAGAAAAATAGCAATTATAAGTACATCTTTTCTTCACTTGAACAGTCATTCCTAAAGGAAAAACATAATTAAACAACTTAAGAAATTTAGAATTGAATACATAATTGCAAAGCCTGATTGTTGCAAAATGAAGACTTTCTAAAACAAACAATTAGATTGTTGGTTCTAGACTTCACGAAACACTGCAAATGTGATCTTATGTAACATAATTCTACATATTCATGACAGTAATGCAAACTGAGCTCATTTTCTTTCCCCATAGGTGAGATTCCTTACAGCCATGCAGAGGAGCAATCATACAGTGACTGAGTTTATACTGCTGGGCTTCACCACAGACCCAGGAATGCAGCTGGGCCTCTTCGTGGTGTTCCTGGGCGTGTACTCTCTCACTGTGGTAGGAAATAGCACCCTCATCGTGTTGATCTGTAATGACTCCTGCCTCCACACACCCATGTATTTTTTCACTGGAAATCTGTCGTTTCTGGATCTCTGGTATTCTTCTGTCTACACCCCAAAGATCCTAGTGACCTGCATCTCTGAAGACAAAAGCATCTCCTTTGCTGGCTGCCTGTGTCAGTTCTTCTTCTCTGCAGGGCTGGCCTATAGTGAGTGCTACCTGCTGGCTGCCGTGGCTTATGACCGCTACGTGGCCATCTCCAAGCCCCTGCTTTATGCCCAGGCCATGTCCATAAAGCTGTGTGCATTGCTGGTAGCAGTCTCATATTGTGGTGGCTTTATTAACTCTTCAATCATCACCAAGAAAACGTTTTCCTTTAACTTCTGCCGTGAAAACATCATTGATGACTTTTTCTGTGATTTGCTTCCCTTGGTGGAGCTGGCCTGTGGCGAGAAGGGCGGCTATAAAATTATGATGTACTTCCTGCTGGCCTCCAATGTCATCTGCCCCGCAGTGCTCATCCTGGCCTCCTACCTCTTTATCATCACCAGTGTCTTGAGGATCTCCTCCTCCAAGGGCTACCTCAAAGCCTTCTCCACATGCTCCTCCCACCTGACCTCTGTCACTTTATACTATGGCTCCATTCTCTACATCTACGCTCTCCCCAGATCTAGCTATTCTTTTGATATGGACAAAATAGTTTCTACATTTTACACTGTGGTATTCCCCATGTTGAATCTCATGATCTACAGCCTAAGGAATAAGGATGTGAAAGAGGCTCTGAAAAAACTTCTCCCATAAATCAAGATTATCTCCACCAGAGGAGAAACAAAGACGACCTTAGATGGAGTGTTGTGTATTTCAAACAGAGTTACCATTGTGCTTTATCGTGATCAGTCCCCTTCTTGACACGTGAGAGTTACAGACATGTACAATAAGAAAATTAGGAAAATTTCGGACAAAAACATCTGAATATATAAGAATTTGAATTGAATTTCCTATCTCTCTTATTAAAAACAAACATAAACCTTAAGCCCAAAACCTCTCCTATACCTTCATAAAGTGAGGAACAGCCTACCTCATTAGCCTAAGATTTGGCTAACTGATACATATAGAAGAGTATCTATATAGTTCCTAGAACTAGGAAGAATTGTGCTCAATTTTTAATATTTTCCTATGTTTAACTGGATGAAATTCATCACTTTCCATTCCCTGAACAGAATATCTTAAACATTGTTCTACATGCTTTCCCCCCACAAGAAGAATTAGCACAAAGATCCAGAGGCACCCAAGAAATAACTCAGTACAAATGAGACCCAGAAAGGCATGACCTTGCTATGCCTCTTACATAAGTTTCTTGATGAAGAAAAAATTCATCAAGATGCCATATATATGATTTTTGTAATTCACTGTATAACTCCCAGAGCTCCTCTTTATTTTACAGGGGTGAACTTACAAGGACTTTTACATTAAAATTGTGACCTTCTGAGCATCAAAGGGCAATTATCATCATTTAAAAAATAATTATTATTTTGGCTAAGTGAAACAATTTCAAAAATAAAAGTCTATGAGTACACATTGATCAACAGATATTTTATTTTTATTTTTAATAGATATTTTATAGAGAGAATATGTATGTACAGGTGTGATTCAACAAAAGGATATTTCACTTAGCATAATGTCTTCTAGGTTTATTCACGTTGTTGTAGGTGACAGAATTACATTTCTTGTAAGGCTGATTATTATTCCATTGTGTACTATATGCCACTTTTTCTTTTATCGATTTATCTGTTGATGGGCACTTACGTTGTTTCTAATTGTTAGCTATTGTGAATAATACTGCAATGAACATGAAAGCACAGATATCTCCTCAACATACCTATATCAATTCCTGTAAGCATCTACCCAGAAGTGGAATTGTTAGATCATATGGTAATTCTATTTTTAGTTTTTGGAGAGACCTCTATATTGTTTTTCAAAATGGCTGTGCTAATGTACATTCCCATCAATGGAGTATAAGAGTTCCCTTTACTCCACATCCTGGCCAATGCTTGATAATTTTCATCTTTTTGATAATGACCATTGTAATATAATGCATAATGTATAATATACGAAGTGATATTTCATTATGATAAGTGAAATAAGCCAGGCACAGAAGAAAACATATTGAATCATCCCACTTATGAGTGGGTTCTAAAAGTTAGAACTCCTACAAGTAGAGAATACAATAGTAGTTGCCAGTGACTGGGGCAGGGTGGGTGGAGAAAGGAGAAGTGTTGATCAAAGGGTACAAAGTTTCATGTAGGCAGGAGGAATAAGTTCTGGTGAACTATTGCAGGACAAGGTGACTACAGTTAACAGTAATGTATTGTGTATTTCAAAATCATTTAAAAAGTGGATCTTACATGTTCTCACCACAAAGCAGTGGTAAGTATATGAGGTGATGGACATAATAATTAGTCGAAGATGTTCAATCTACAATGTATACATGTACTGAAGCATTGTCTTTTACCCCATACATATATAAAATTATGGTTTATCAATATGAATAAAATTTAAAAAACAAAAAGATGAATATGACAAGTGGCATTTAATTTTCATTAGTTTTTCAATGTAAGATAGTACTAATGTAATTTATGCTTATAAACACAAATTCTCTCTGGTTTGAATTGGCACAAGCAGTAAAGGGAGAAAATGCAAGAAACTGAATTAGGCAGGTAGACCCAGAAAATGTACAAGATTCACACAGAGTAGAAAGAGTAAATCCACACTGGCAATCATGGACATTACAAAGTAAGTGGGTGCAAGAAATAAAATCAATGCAAGTTGCAACACACAGTAACACAGCCGAAACAGAGTCCAACAGTGTAATTCCAAGATGCTCGTGTCAGCCGTTCTAAAAAGGAACGCTATATATGCCAACTCAGTCTTCTGGTTTTCTAAAATACATGTTCTATTTCCCACTAATGATATTAAAATTCCTATAAAACACATTCTTCATTTTTTAAAGTAATGTTAACAGACTCAATTAGTATATTGCAGTGGCAGTAAATCAATTATTTTATGTTTCTTGACCGAAACTAGAAAGTACATCATTCCAGAGGGAAGCATCAATTGCAGAAAGTAAAACTGATGTGACACATCTAATCTTAAAACACCGTGGTATCATAAACCCTGACATGTAACTATAGAAGAGAGTCTCAAACTACTTGACGGCTTCTATTCTAATATTTTTATGGGAGCCTACCAGAATTCATTCTTCAAATAAGAATAAGAATATGCCCATATATCCATATATTGTAAACATAGCTCGCTAAGTGCATATTCATATTATTTTATACTTGGAAGTTAGCTCTAGAATTATGTCTAAGTAATATTACAGAGACCCTAGTAAAAAGATAAAGTACAGCTAATAATAATCTTAGGAAAACATAAAAATAAATAAGAACATAAAATAGAAGCATGCAGCATGTTTTATAACATAATTTAGAAATATGTTTAAGTGTAAATTTAGCAGTAAGTTTTGCATTCACTTTTGGAAATGTTTCATCTGCAACTTATTGATTTGAAGTATTCAGAAAAATCTTTCATATTAATTTGAAAGTAAAATACAAATTCCTACGGAAATTTAACTACTGAGGTCAAAAATGAATTTGAAATTCTTAAGGTAAAGTGATTTGTAAGATTTTTCTTGTTGATATGAGTTTTAATAAATAAAACATTTCTAAAAGTACAAAAGTATACTGTGGTCTCGTCCTTACAAAAGATCTCCTAAATTTAATGTTCTTTGAAAAATGCACAACTCTTAGTGGTTTCATTAGTCTGGATTCTTCAGAGAAGTAGAACCAATAGAATGTGTGCATATATGTGTGTGTGATATGTGTGTGTGTGTGTTTGTGTGTGTGTGTACAGATTAATTTTGAAGCCTGTCAAGGCTAAACCTGCAGTGTGGCCTAGGAGACTTGAGACCAAGGAATGCTGCTGGAGCACCTGCAGGCTGGCAGCTTAGAGACCCAAACAGTCAATGGTGCAGATTAAATCCGGGAGCAGAGTGCCGGAGAATACCCTCCTGCTTAGGAAGGTCTATTATTTTTCTTCTTTTTTCTGTTTTGGCCGTTAACTGATTGGTTTTCTCATATAAAATTACCTTGTTAGTAGTTTTTCAAGATGGTAGACTGAAGGTTTTGTTAGTGTGCTTCTTCCACTTGCAAAGACCAAATAGTGCAGAGACATGCTATGAGCCTTCTTCCAAGAAGCAACACAGGAACTTAACAGGAAAACTGAATGAAACCACAGGCCCTTTGAAGGAAGTGGTGGCTGCAGCCTACACCATAAGCCAGGTGGAAAACCGTGAGTCTCCAGCACGAGGGTGGCAGAAACTGCATCAGGTGTATGCACTCCCACTGGGAAACCTGGCAATCCAGGCCACGGAGGAAGGCCTTAAGCCTACCCAGGACTGGAGCTGACGTACTGAGCAGTGGGGAGTATATGAGAAGGAGCAGGATCAGGACATGCTTTGCATGCACTCCCAGTCACCGGGGGGACCTGGGAAGCCATTCCTGATCCTCTACAGCACAGAGGACTTTGCAGAAGTCAGCCAGCTAACTCACATGGCAGTCACTGGTTAAGAGAAGCTCCTGAGATTTGTGATATAATCCTGATTGAAGATGAAACCACTTGTCCAGAACTGAGGCACAAGTAGAAAGTTTGCTAAAGCCTTGGGCACAGGAGCTGGGTGTTCCTGCTTCATGGGACAAATGGGAAGGACATGGTCTGAAAGCTATGGTCTGTCTCCCTCAGGAATGGCCTTGTGTCATTTTGAGTTCTGAGTGCTGGCTGCCTGTAAACCAGGTACCTGCTGCAGGTGGAATACTGCAGGTATGAGACCTGTCTTGCCACGTATGTGGGAGCTGGTTGGGGCTTAATACTGCTTGCTACTCCCCACTCCCCATGTGGACTCATCTGTTCAGCAGGAGCAGGTGTACTCCTCACTGAAGCATCATCCTAGTGGCCATGGAACTGCCATCCAATCCTCACTGGGGTGACTACTTGTGCCCATACATGGGCAACCAGAGTGCAGACTTGTCTGACCTAGACCTTACCTAGCTTTGCCCCTCTACCCAGCCTCGTAACTGAATAAAAGAACACAGACTTTTGGTAGGTCTATGGCCATGCCCATTGTCTGAAAGACCAGAGTACCTTCTCTGGGTAACGTAAGGCAAACACAAAGATCACTGCTACCACCGCAGCTGGTGCACAACCTTCTGTGTGGAGGCCAATCAACACAGTACATTATGGCATCTGCAGGCAGAGCAACACAGCACCCAGGAAGGATAAAACTTTTGTGTGACCTCAGCTATCAATATTGCCTGCATCACCCTGGCTAACCAGGAGGTCTTGTGTCTGCCCATGTGACCTGTTCATTAGTACTACAACTGGCATCTGAGAAAGCCAAAACACTAAAGTTATTTATAACCAAGCAGATCTTACAGAGTCTACATCAGTCTCCTACCATGCCATCAGATCTTGTGTTGATACCTGCTGCTGGGAGACTTGAAGACAGGTCACATTGCTGAATCACTTGCAGACATTCCCCAGAACCAGCCTGGTGTGTAGCAACCACACTGGGTGTCTAAACCCAGAGAAGAAGCAGAATTCACAGTAGTCTGTCCCTGAGGGACTCTTACTCTTAGGGGAACAGGAAGTGCACCACATCAAGAGAGTACCCCATGAGACAAAGGAATCCAGATGGCAGGCCTTGGGTCTCAGACTTTCCACTTGTGGTAAATTTCAGCAGAGGGACAAGTGCAGTGCTTGCCTCAGTGGGGAAAGTCTGTAGCTCTACCTCAACAGTCAGGCAGCCCTGGTGCTTGTGAAGGGTCTGGAGACGGGTACTTCTTCTCCCTCTCACCTACAATTTTGGACACAGCTGGGGCTTCTCCCAAAGGAGCTCTGTGTGGGTGCAGCTGTAGCATTTCTGGAACACTTCAGGGTAATTTCATCCCCACAGGAGTGCCCTCCAGATTCAGGCTGCCTGAGAGGTAGAGTCACAATCCCTCTCCACATGCAACATCAGCATTCCTGCAGATGAAAAGAGGTGCTGGTCTGATCTGAATAACCAGAACACTAGGTACAGTTTGTGACTCATGTGCCTTGGAGGTGGATCAGTTTCCTGCTGGCCTGGTAGGAGAGCTAAGGTGGCTTCCTCCCAACCCTCTGTAAAGACCTCACTGTGTTTCAGTGAGGGCTCCCTCAGCTGTCTCTGTCGGAGCGGGGACCTCTGCCTACCACTTGGCATTGCATTTACCCACTTGCTTTAGCTAGAGCTGGTTTTTACCCATGAACACCTCCTGCTGGCCTGAAGCCTGAATGGTTCAATTCAGTTAACAAAGTACTGGGAGAATAAATAAATAAATGCACATTACTGGGGAACAAGATAAGCTTCATGAGACCTCTGTCATTCCAGCCCCACAGGATACAGTGAACCTGCTCACACACCAAGAACATTGCTACCACAAACAGCATCTGAGAAAGCCACTGAACAAAGATTCTATAACCAAGGAATCATATACTCTTCAACCTTTAAAACTTTCAGAGCTGAACTAAATTACAATAATAAACTATAAACAGTAAAGTCACATCCCCAAGGGCATAAAAAAGAAACAAAAAATACAGCACAGTCAAATAAAAAATAAGTTTAAAAATAATTAGAACAAATAGTCTACCCACCTGAGAAGAAACCAGAAAAGTAATTCTGGTAATGTTTTTAAAAAAACACTCTCAAAAGATCACACAAGCTCTCTAGCGATGGATCCAAACCAAGATGAAATTTTTGACATACCAGATGAAGAATTCGAAAGGTTGATTATTAAGCTACTCAAGGATTTACATGAAAAAGGTAAAAACTAGTGTAAAATAATTTTTAAAACAAGAATACAACTGAAAAGTTTTCTAAACAGATAGATATTTTGAAGAAAAAACAATCAGAACTGTTGAAAATTGAAGACATATTTAAAGAATAACAAAATTCCACAGAAAATTTTAATAATAGACTAGACAGTGTAGAAAAAAGAATTTCAGAATTTGAAGACAAGGGTTTGAATTAACCCAATCATACAAAACTAAAGGAAAAAGAATAAAAAGAAATCAACAAAGTCTCCAAGAAATATAAGATTATGTAAAACATCCAAACCTAAAAATAATTTGTGTTCCTGATTGAGAAGGAAAGGCAAAAAGTTTGAAAACCTTTTTTGAGGGAATAATTGAGGAAAACTTCCCTGGCCTTGCAAGACATTTAGGCAACCAAACACAAGAAGCTTAAAGGACTCCTGGGGAATTCACTGCAAAAAGGTCATCACCAAGGCATACGGTCATCATGCTATCTAAAGTCAACGTAAAGGAAAGAATTCTAACAGCAATAAGAAAAAATGCACCAAGTAACCTATAAAACAAACCTATCAGACTAACAGCAGACTTCTCAGCAGAAACCTTACAAGCTAGGAGAGATTGGGGTCCTATCTTTAGCCTCCTTAAACCGAATAATGGTCAGCCAAGAATTTTTTATCCAGCAAAACTAAGTTTCATGAATGAAGGAGGAATAAAGTATTTCTCAAACAAAAAAAGGTTGAGGAGATTTGTCACTACCAGACTAGAAATGCTAAAAGGATTTCTAAATCTTGAAACAAAAGGTTGATATGCACCAGAATAGGACACCTTGAAAGCATAAAATTCACAGGTCCTTTAAAATAAGAACACAATGAAGAAAACAAAGTCTTAGGTAGCAACAAACATGATTACTGGAACAGTACCCCACATCTCAATATTAACACTGAATGTGAATACAGAATGGCATAATAAATTTTTAAAAATCACAAACCAAACATCTGCTGTCTTCAAGAGACACACCTAACATGTAAGGATTCTTGCAGGTAAAGGGGTGAAAAAGATATTCCATGCAAATGGAAACCAAAAGCAAGCAAGCAAGAATAGCTATTCCTGTATCAGATAAAACAGACTTTAAAGCAACAACACTAAAAAAAAAGATGAAGGAGGTCATTACATAACGATAAAAGGATCAATCCAAAAAGAAGATGTAACAATTATAAATATAAATGCATCTAACTCTGGAGCTCCTAAACTCATAAAACAATTATTACTAGGCCTAAGAAAAGAGATAGTGAGCAACAAAATAGTAGTGGGGAACTTCAGTACTCTGGTGACAATACTAGACATTATCTAGGCAGAAAGTCAACAAAGAAACACTGGGCTTTAAACTGAACTCCAAAAAAAAAAAAACAATGAACCTAACAGATACTTACATAACATTCTACCCAAGAGCTGAATATACATTCTTCTCATTAGCATATGGAATATTCTCCAAGGTAGACTATATGATAGGCCACAAGCAAGTCTTAACAAATGTAAAAATATCAGAATCATATCAAGTATCTTCTCAGATCACAAGAGAACAAAACTAGAAATCAATTCCAATAGGAATCCTCAAAACTACATAAACACATGGAAATTAAACAATCAGCTCCTGAATGATTTTTGGTTTAATAAAGGAATCAACATTGAAATTTTAAAATTCTTCAAAATTAATGATAACAGTGACGCAAATTATCAAAACCTCTGGGATGCAGCAAAAACAGTGCTAAGAGGAAAGTTTATAGTGCTAAATGCATATGTTACTCTGTCTGAAAGATCACAAATTGACAACCTAATGTTACATCTCAAGGAAGTAGAGAAACAAGAAGAAACCAAACCCAAAGCTAGCAGAAGAAAAGAAATAACAAAGATCAGAGCAGAACTAAATGAAATTCAGACTAAAAAAATGGTTTTTTGGAAAGACAAAAAATTGGTAGACCATTAGCTATTAACTAAGAAGAGAGAAGTTTCTCTTTTTTTTCCTTTTTTTAAAATTTATACTTTCAGTTCTAGGGTACATGTGCACAACGTGCATGTTTGATACATAGGTATAAATGTGCCATGTAGGTTTGCTGCACCCATCAACTCATCATTTACATTAGGTACTTCTCCTAATGCTATCCCTCCCCCAGCCCACCACTCCCTGACAGGTCCCAGTGTGTGATGTTCCCTGCCCAGTGTCCAAGTGATCTAATTGTTCAATTCCCACCTATGAGTGAGACATGTGGTGTTTGGTTTTCTGTCCTTGTGATAGTCTGCTGAGAATGATGGTTTCCAGCTTCATCCATTTACCGGCAAAGGACATGAACTGATCCTTTTCTGTGGCTGCATAGTATTCCATGGTGTATATGTGCCACATTTTCTTAATCCAGTCAATCATTGGTGGACATTTGGGTTGGTTCCAAGTCTTTGCTATTGTAGTGCCACAAAAAACATACGTGTGCATGTGTCTTTATAGTAGCATGATTTATAATCCTTTGGGTATATACCCAGTAATGGGATTGCTACATCAAATGGTAATTCTAGTTCTAGATCCTTGAGGAATCGCCACACTGTCTTCCACAATGGTTGAACTAATTTACACTCCCACCAACAGTGTAAAAGCATTCCTATTTCTCCACACCCTCTCCAGCATCTGTTGTTTCCTGACTTTTTAATGATTGCCATTCTAACTGGTGTGAGATGGTATCTCATTGTGGTTTTGATTTGCATTTCTCTGATGGCCAGTGATGATGGGCATTTTTCATGTGTCTGTTGGCTACATAGATGTCTTCTTTTGAGAAGCGTCTGTTCATATCCTGTGCCCACTTTTTGATAGGGTTGTTTGTTTTTTTCTTGTAAATTTGTTTGAGTTCTTTGTAGATTCTCTATATTCGCCCTTTGTCAGATGGGTAGATTGCTAAAATTTTCTCCCATTCTGTAGGTTGCCTTTTCACTCTGATGGTAGTTTCTTTTGCAGGGCAGAAGTTCTTTAGTTTGATTAGATCCCATTTGTCTATTTTGGCTTTTGTTCCCATTGCTTTTGGTGTTTTAGTCATGAAGTTCTTGCC
This sequence comes from Homo sapiens, assembly GCF_000001405.40. NCBI lineage: Eukaryota > Metazoa > Chordata > Mammalia > Primates > Hominidae > Homo > Homo sapiens. The sequence continues at coordinate 56,710,482 of NC_000011.10, forward strand.
CATGCCTATGTCCTGAATGGCATTGCCTAGGTTTTCTTCTAGGGTTTTATGGTTTTAGGTTTAACATTTAAGTGTTTAATCCACCTTGAATTAATTTTTGTATAAGGTGTAAGGAAGGGAGATTCAGTTTCAGCTTTCTACATATGGCTAGCCAGTTTTCCCAGCACCACTTATTAACTGGGGAATCCTTTCCCCATCTCTTGTTTTTGTCAGGTTTGTCAAATATCAGATGGTTGTAGATGTGTGGTGTTATTTCTGAGGCTTCTATTCTGTTCCATTGGTCTATATATCTGTTTTGGTACCAGTACCATGCTGTTTTTATTACTGTAGCCTTGTAGTGTAGTTTGAAGTCAGGTACCGTGGTGCCTCCAGCTTTGTTCTTTTGGCTTAGGATTGTCTTGGCAATACGGACTCTTTTTGGGTTCCATATGAACTTTCAAGTAGTTTTTTCCAATTCTGTGAAGAAAGGCATTGGTAGCTTGGTGGAGATAGCATTGAATCTATAAATTACTTTGGGCAGTATGGCCATTTTCATGATATTGTTTCTTCCTATCCATAAGCATGGAACATTTTCCCATTTGTTTGTGTCCTCTTGTATTTCATTGAGCAGTAGTTTGTTGCTCTCCTTGAAGAGACCCTTCACATCCCTTGTAAGCTGGATTCCTAGGTATTCTATTCTCTTTGAAGCAATTGTGAATGGGAGTTCACTCATGATTTGGCTCTCTTTCTGTTTGTTAATGGTGTATAGGAATACTTGTGATTTTTGCACATTGATTTTGTATCCTGAGACTTTGCTGAAGTTCTTTATCAGCTTAAGGAGACTTTGGGCTGAGATGATGGGGTTTTCTAAATATACAATCATGTCATCTGCAAACAGGGACAATTTGACTTCCTCATTTCTTAATTGAATGCCTTTATTTCTTTCTCTTGCCTGATTGCCCTGGCCAGAATTTCCAACACTATGTTGAATAGGAGTGGTGAGAGAGGGCATCCCTGTCTTGTGCCAGTTTTCAAAGAGAATGCTTCCAGTTTTTGTCATAAATAGCTCATTATTTTGAGATACATTCCATCAATACCTAGTTCATTGAGAGTTTTTAGCATGAAGGGCTGTTGAATTTTGTCAAAGGCCTTTTCTGCATCTATTGAGATAATCATGTGGTTTTTGTCATTGGTTCTGTTTATGTATGGATTACGTTTATTGATTTGCATATATTGAACCAGCCTTGCATCCCAGGCAGGAAGCCGACTTGACTGTGCTGGAGAAGCTTTTTGATGTGCTGCTGGATTCGGTTTGCCAGTATTTCATTGAGGATTTTCACATCAATGTTCATCAGGGATATTGGTCTAAAATTCTCTTTTTTTGTTGTGTATCTTCCAAGCTTTGGTATCAGGAGATATTGGCCTCATAAAATGAGTTAGGAAGGATTCCCTCTTTTTCTCTTGATTGGAATAGTTTCAGAAGGAATGGTACCAGTTCTTCTTTGCACCTCTGGTAGAATTTGGCTGTGCATGCATCTGGTCCTGGATTTTTTTTGGTTGGTAGGATATAAATTATTGCCTCAGTTTCAGATCCTGTTATTGGTCTATTCAGAGATTCAACTTCTTCCTGGTTTAGTCTTGGGATGGTGTATATGTCCAGAAATTTATCCATTTCATCTAGATTTTCTAGTTTATTTGCATAGAGGTGTTTATAGTATTCTCTGATGGTAGTTTGTATTTCTGTGGGATCGGTGGTGATATTCCCTTTATCATTTTTTATTGCATCTATTTGATTTTTCTCTATTTTCTTCTTTGTTAGTCTTGCTAGCAGTCTATCAATTTTGTTGATCTTTTCAAAAAACCAGCTCCTGGATTCATTGATTTTTTTGAAGGATTTTTTTGTGTCTCTATTTCCTTCAGTTCTGCTCTGATCTTAGTTATTTCTTGCCTTCTGCTAGCTTTTGAATATGTTTGCTCTTGCTTCTCTGGTTCTTTTAATTGTGATGTTAGGGTACCAATTTTAGATCTTTCCTGCTTTCTCTTATGGGCATTTAGTGGTATCAATTTCCCTCTACACACTGCTTTAAATGTGTCCCAGAGATTCTGGTACATTTTGTCTTTGTTCTCATTGGTTTCAAAGAACATCTTTATTTCTGCCTTCATTTCATTATTTACCCAGTAGTCCTTCAGGGCAGGTTTTTCAGTTTCCATGTAGTTGTACAGTTTTGAGTGAGTTTCTTAATCCTGAGTTCTAATTTGATTGCACTGTGGTCTGAGAGACTGTTTGTTGTGATTTCTGTTCATTTACATTTGCTGAGGAGTGCTTTACTTCCAATTATGTGGTCAATTTTAGAATAAGTTTGATGTGTTGCTGAGAAGAGTGTACATTTGTTGATTTTGGGTGGCGAGTTCTGTAGATGTCTATTAGATGTCTATTGTTGCAGAGCTGAGTTCAGGTCCTGGATATCCTTGTTAATCTTCTGTCTCATTGATCTGTCTAATATTGACAGTGGGGTGTTGAAGTCTCCCATTATTATTGTGTGGGAGTCTAAGTCTCTTTGTAGGTCTCTAAGGACTTGCTTTATGAATCTGGGTGCTATTGTATTGGGTGCATATGTATTTAGGATAGTTAGCTCTTCTTGTTTAATTGATCCCTTTACCATTATGTAGTGGCCTTCTTTGTCTCTTTTGATCTTAGTTGGTTTAAAGTCTGTTTCATCAGAGGCTAGGATTGCAACCCCTGCTTTTTTTTTTTTTTGCTTTCCATTTGCTTGTAGGTCTTCCTCCATCCCTTTATTTTGAGCTTATGTGTGTCTTTGCACATTAGATGGGTCTCCTGAGTACAGCGCACTGATGGTTCTTGACTCTTTATCCAATTTGCCAGTCTGTGTCTATTAATTGGGGCCTTTAGCCCATTTACATTTAAGGTTAATATTGTTATGTGTGAATTTGATCCTGTCATTTTGATGTTCACTGGTTATTTTGCTATTTATTGATGCAGTTTCTTCATAGAATTGATGGTCTTTACAATTTGGCATGTTTTTGCAGTGGCTGGTACTGGTTGTTCCTTTCCATGTTTAGTGCTTCCTTCAGGAGCCCTTCAAAGGCGGGCCTGGTGGTGACGAATCTCTCAGCATTTGCTTGTCTGTAAAGGATTTTATTTCTCCTTCACTTATGAAGCTTAGTTTGGCTGGATATGAAATTCTAGGTTGAATACTCTTTTCTTTAAGAATGTTGAATATTGGCCCACACTCTCTTCTGGCTTGTAGGGTTTTTGCTGAGAGACCCACTGTTAGTCTGATGGGCTTCCCTTTGTGGGTAACTCGACCTTTCTCTCTGGCTGCCTTAACACTTTTTCCTCATTTCAACCTTGATCTGACAATTATGTGTCTTGGGGTTGCTCTTCTCGAGGAGTATCTTTGTGGTGTTCTCTGTATTTCCTGAATTTGAATGTTGGCCTGTGGGAGAAGTTTCAAATAAGCTCTATTAGAAATGAAAATGGAGACGTTACAACAAACACCACAGAAATACTAAAGATCATTCAAGACAACTACAAGCATCTCTATGCACATAAACTAGAAAATCTAGAGGAAATGGATAAATTCCTGGAAACATATGACTCTCCCAGCTTGAATCAGGAAGAAATAGAAACAGGCCAATAACAAGCAGTGAGATGGAATCAGTAATAAAAATTGCCAATGAGAAAAATGTCCAGAGCCAGATGGATTCATAGTTGAATTCTCCCAGACATTCAAAGAAGAATTGATACCAATCCTACTGAAACTATTCCAAAAGATTGAGAAAGAAGGAATCCTCCCTACCTCATTTTATAAGACCAACATCACACTGATACGAAAGCCAGCAAAGGACATAACAAAAAAAAGAAAACCACAGACAAACGTTACAGGTGGTAATACTGGAGGTTTTTCCAGGTAACAGCACTGAGTTCTGTGAGTCATCACTAACAAGGACATGGTGGTGGTGAGTAGCATAAGATGTGCCTAGACAGAAAGGCTGTAATGTATGACCTTTACATATCCTGCAAAGAAACCTGACCCATTATCTTGTAAAGTTGTCAGATTGGTGTTCAGTTGGTGAGAGGGGCTAGTGATTTATAATGGGGTCACAATTCAACAACTGCAAAGCCTCCGATTCCATTTCTACCTACAGAGGTAGAAACTACTCAAATCTCATCTTTCCATTCTGTTTAATGAGATCTCCTTAATCACAGAAGATCCTTAATCACCCATATGTTAGATATATGCAATCCTTGGTCCTTTTTTCTGTCTTTCCCCAAAATGGCTTCTGGCCTCTGCCCCAGGACACGCTTTCCCTGAGCAGCTCTGTCTGCTGGCTCTGCATGTGTGGTCCCTCACAAACCTAGGGTGTTTTGTCATGCTCTCTGTCCCTTGCCTTCCATCAGTCCTTCCTCCATTCTGAACTTCCAGAGTGGGCTTGCACAAATGAGCACTAGGTGAGTTGGATAGAGGAATTTCTCTTCAAATCCATTTGTAACGGTGATACACTTTTCCCACGGTACAATAAAGGGATGACTTGTAGGTTTTCAGAGATTCAAAGATTCAAAGATAAAAGGTATTGAAAGATAAAAAGATGTCATTTTGCTTGACAAAATATTTCTTTTCTCTTTGTTTCCAGAACTCAGTCATGAAGCCTTGGGGATTCCATCAAAAAGCATTTCTCTCAGGGATGTGATGCTGAATTTTCTTTACTATTATCACAGAGAGTGTCTTCAGGTAGCAATTTCAAGAACTTCATTTGCATGTGAACCTTTCAACAATGATAATTCTCATTTCAAGTGTCAAAGAAAGTAAACTAAAATGAAGATTTTGCTTCATTCTGTGTGTCTATACCCAATATAATTTTCGGGCCTGGGTAGATAATCATGAGCTATATACTTGGTGCCATTGAACCCATCTAGAGATGCACTCAGGCCAAAATAATCTTTCAAATTGCTTTCATTAGCCACACTGGTGAGAATGTACCTCACTGGCATTTTCCCACCTCTAGACATTAGTGTCATTCCAAAACCGATATCCAACAATACCCAAAAGGTCTGGGATGTGTTTTGCAGAGTGTAGGATTACTCTGGTAAATGTCTGAAAATCATTCATGAAAATGCACGGAGAAAGACGTAAATATAGTCATGCCCTTACGAATGACATTCCAGTAAATGATGAGCTGCATATGTGATGGTGGCCCCATAAGATTATAATGGAGCGTGAAAATTTCTGTCACCTAGTGACATCATAACCCTTGTAACATTATAGTGCAATGCTTTACTCACATGTTTGTGGTGATGCTGCTGTAAACAAACCTACTACACTGACAGTCATTTTAAAGTACAGCACCTACAATTACGCACAATATATAATACTTGATGATGATAATAAGTGACCGTGTTACCAGCTTATTTATTTGTCACACTATACTTTTAATCATTACTTTAGAGAATGCTTTTTTCACTTAAATAAAAAAGTAAACCATAAGACAGCCACAGGCAGGTCCTTCAGGAGGTATTCCAGGAGAAGGCATTGTTACCACAGGAAATGACAGCTCCATGCATGTTATTGACCTTGAAGACCATCCGGTAAGACAAGATGTGGAGGTGGAAGTCAGTGATATTGATGATCCTGACTTTGTGTAAGCCTAGGCTAATTTGTGTGTTTGTGTCTAGTTTTTAACAAAAGAAAAATTAAAGCAAAAATAAATATTTTTTAAAATAAAAAACTTTAGAATAAAGATGTAAAGAAAGACAATATTTTTCTAATGCTGTACAATATGTGTTCTAAGTGTTACTACAAAGAATCAAAAAGTTTAAAAATATTTAAAAGTTTATAAAGTTAAAAAAGTACAGTAAACTAAGGTTAATTAAACATTGAAGAAATAAAAATGTTTGTATAAATTGGGCGTAGCCTAATTGTCTAGTATTTATAAAGTATACATTAGTGTACAGTGATGTCATAGGCTTTCACTTTCACTCATCACTCTCACTGACTCACCCAGAGCAACTTCCAGTCTCGCAAGCTCCATTCATGCCAAGTGTGCTACAGTAGTTTTACTATGCTTTTTCTATGTTTAGATACACAAACATTTATCATTAAGTTACAATTGTCTACGGTGTTTAATGCAGTAACCTGCCGTACAGGTTTTAGCATAGAAGCAATGGGCTATACCATACAGCCTAAGTGTGTAGTAGGTTGCACCATCTAGGTTTGTGTAATTATACTGTATGATGTTTGCACAATAATTAAACCACCTAACAATGCATTTCTCAGAACATTTTCCCATCATTAAGCAACATAGACTGTATACCCGAGGCTAAGCTTCAGAGATTTTCACAAACGGTTCTAGCCTCTCTTTCAGTCTATGGTTTCAGTGGTTGTGAAATAGCTGAGCATAGGTGGGAGAATTTTATGAGCTTGTGTTTCCCTACTAGAGGAAATTGACTTCTTTTACATTCCTGTACAAATAAAATATTTCCTTTTTATAAGAAAAAAGCACCAGTGATGGTGAGCATTTTTTCATGTGTTTTTTGGCTACATAAATATCTTCTTTTGAGAAGTGTCTGCTCAAGTCCTTTGCCCACTTTTTGGTGGGGTTGTTTGTTTTTTTCTTGTAAATTTGTTTGAGTTCATTATAGATTCTGGATATTAGCCCTTTGTCAGATGAGTAGGTTGTGAAAATTTTCTCCCATTTTGTAGGTTGCCTGTTCACTCTGATGGTAGTTTCTTTTGCTGTGCAGAAGCTCTTTAGTTTAATTAGATCCCATTTGTCAATTTTGGCTTTTGTTGCCATTGCTTTTTGTGTTTTAGACATGAAGTCCTTGCCCATGCCTATGTCCTGAATGGTAATGCCTAGGTTTTCTTCTAGGGTTTTTATGGTTTTAGGTCTAACATTTAAGGCTTTAATCACTGGCCATCAGAGAAATGCAAATCAAAAACCACAATGAGATACCATCTCACACCAGTTAGAATGGCAATCATTAAAAAGTCAGGAAACAACAGGTGCTGGAGAGGATGTGGAGAAATAGGAACACTTTTACACTGTTGGTGGGACTGTAAACTAGTTCAACCATTGTGGAAGTCGGTGTGGCGATTCCTCAGGGATCTAGAACTAGAAATACCATTTGACCCAGCCATCCCATTACTGGGTATATACCCAAAGGAATATAAATCATGCTGCTATAAAGACACATGCACACGTATGTTTATTGTGGCACTATTCACAATAGCAAAGACTTGGAACCAACCCAAATGTCCAACAATGATAGACTGGATTAAGAAAATGTGGCACATACACACCATGGAATACTATGCAGCCATAAAAAAGGATGAGTTCATGTCCTTTGTAGGGACATGGATGAAATTGGAAATCATCATTCTCAGTAAACTATCGCAAGAACAAAAAACCAAACACCGCATATTCTCACTCATAGGTGGGAACTGAACAATGAGAACACATGGACACAGGAAGGGGAACATCACACTCTGGGGACTGTTGTGGGGTGGGGGGAGGGGGGAGGGATAGCTTTAGGAGATATACCTAATGCTAAATGACGAGTTAATGGGTGCAGCACACCAGCATGGCACATGTATACATATGTAACTAACCTGCACATTGTGCACATGTACCCTAAAACTTAAGATATAATAATAATAAAAGAAAAGAAAAGAAAAAAGCACCTTGATTTGTTAGCCATATAATTCATTACTTAGCATCCACCAAATCCATAAGACGTTGCTACAGATGTCTGCACAACAAAATACCTGATTACCACCTACATCCTGCAATATGTATGGGAAATTGCTTCCATCTTATCTCTGACAGTTATGCACCATAAACCAGTTTCTACTACCCTGGAAACTTAATTCCACAGCAGTTTTACTCATCATCATCCCTAGCCTACACTGGGAGCCCTGCAGAGCTTTCCAACAATGACAATGACTTTGTCAACGGTGTATTCCTTAATGCATTAATAAAATGAGATCCCTGGAGCCCTAGGGTGAGCCAGATGAGAGATTGTGGGGTGGGGGAAGAGCAGGCAGTGATGGTTAGTTAGGCAGTGACAGAGCGGATTACACATATGGCATCAGTTACAATATATCTATCTTCAGATACTTTCAGACATCATCTTCTGTAGTCTGTCAGGTTGATCAAACATTTTTACCTCCATAAGTGTAGAGAAAAGAAGGAGAGATCAGACTGTTACTGTGTCTGTATAGAAAGGGAAGATATAAGAAATTTCATTTTGACCTGTACCCTGAACAATTGCTTTGCCCTGAGATGCTGTTAATCTGTAACTTTGCCCCAGCCACTTTGCCCCAACCTCTTTGCTCCAACCTTGAGCTCACAAAAATATGTGTTGTATGGAATCAAGGTTTAAGAGATCTAGGGCTGTGCAGGATGTGCCTTGTTAACAAAATGTTTACAGGCAGTATGCCTGGTAAAAGTCATTGCCATTCTCTAGTCTCGATAAACCAGAGGCACAATGCACTGCGAAAAGCTGCAGGGACCTCTGCTCTGGAAAGCCAGGTATTGTCCAAGGTTTCTCCCCACGTGATAGTCTGAAATATGGCTTCGTGGCATGGGAAAGATATGACCATCCCCCAGGCTGACACCAGTAAGGGTCTGTGCTGAGGAGGATCAGTAAAAGAGGAAAGTCTCTTGCAGTTGAGATAGAGGAAGGCCACCGTCTCTTGCCTGTCCCTGGGAACCAAATGTCTCGGTATAAAACCCGATTGCACCTTTGTTCTATTCTGAGATAGGAGAAAAACCGCCCTGTGGCAGGAGGCGAGACATGTTGGCAGCAATGCTGCTTTGTTATTCTTTACTCCATTGAGATGTTTGGGTGGAGAGAAACATAAATCTGGCCTATGTGCACATCCAGGTATAGTACCTCCCCTTGAACTTAATTATGACACAGATTCTTTTGCTCACATGTTTTTTTGCTGACCTTCTCCCTATTATCACCCTGCTCTCCTACCACATTCCTCTTGCTGAGATAGTGAAAGTAATAATCAATAAAAACTGAAGGGAACTCAAAGACCGGTGCCGGTGCAGGTCCTTGGTATTCTGAGTGCCGGTCTCCTGGGCCCACTGTTCTTTCTCTGTGCTTTGTTTCTGTGTCTTATTTCTTTTCTCAGTCTCTTGTCCCACCTGACGAGATACACCCACAGGTGTGGTGGGGCTGGCCCCCTTCACATAACTATAACTGCTTTCAGTTTAACATTCAGTTAAACAGCTTAGAAAATTATTGCCATTATTCCAGGAACTCAATCGATCACATTAAATCTCAAATCCATGGTGAATATGCCCATGTCAATCAACTTGGCCATATGAAACTTAATATATTTTTCTCTTTGGTCTCATGTCTAAGAATCCATTCCTGAACTTGTTCCCCAGACACTTGCCAGTAGAAATTGATAAGGTCCTGTAAATATTACCAGATCAGATTTTTTTTTTTTTTGAGACAGAGTCTCACTCTATTGCCGAGGCTGGAGTGCAGTGGCATGATCTTGGCTCACTGCAACCTCTGCCACCCGGGTTCAAGCAGTTCTCCTGCCTCAGCCTCCTGAGTAGGTGGGATTACAGGTGACTGCCACCATACCTGGCTAATTTTTTGTATTTTTAGTAGAAACAGGATTTCACCATGTTGACCAGGAGGGTCTCGAACTCCTGACCTCATGATCCACCCACCTCAGCCTCTGAAAGCACTGGGATTACAGGCATAAACCACTATGCCCAGCCTACCAGATCAGATTTGATATCTCACTGTCTGGGCTATGATGATTTTTAAGTTTCATCAGGAACCCAGAAGTAATGTGGAATAATGGGACTGGGCATTGAGGAGAATGGTAACAGCATGTGATCTCCTCTTTCAGGTGCAGTCAGTAAAATGCATTCATCCAGGGAAAGTCCTTGTTCTCTCAGGTTCTGGGGGGAAAAAACCCATTTTTAAAAAGAGGCTCAAGAGAATTTGAGGTTCAGAATTCTCACACTTGTCTTTCTCGGCCTAAATGCTCTCAATCCTATGTCTCAGGACATCACACCTTTCTCATTAAATACTTGCCGACATTAAGCATTTATTTGGGCTACATCTTTGCAATGCCAGCAATCAGGACATAGCATTTTTTTTCTGGGGACACGGTGTTGCTCTGTCACTCAGGCTGGAGTGATGTGGTGCAATCATAGCTCACTGCAGCCTCACATCCTCAGGCTCACATGATCCTCTCAGCTCAGCATTCTGAGTGGCTGAGACTACAGGTGCACACCACATGCAGCTAATTTTTTATTTTTTATAGAGACGAAGGTCTCACTATGTTGCCCAGGCTAGTCTGGCCTCAAGTGATTCTCCTGCCTTGTCCTCCCAAAGCACTGGGATTACAGGCATGTGCCACCACGCCTGGCCCATAGCACTTGTTTTTCACTATATTTTCCCAAGGACTACAGAAGATAAGAATCATTTTGACTTCCTGTTTGTTTTTTCAGTTGGATGGTAACAGATTTTAATTTCAGCAAATCCAGCTCACCACATAAGATTTATAATCACTATATTCATGCCTTTGTCACAGTAAATTTATCTCTCAATACCTTGCCCTTGATCTGCCCTTCATACTTTGATGCCACTGGTGATCATTTATGTAAATTTGATGTCACAGGATTTCATACATTATTAATGTCTCATTTCTTCCATCACATATTTCTCCACCTAATCTTCAAATACGTAAACAACCCAATCCCTTGTGAATATTTATCTTCTTGGACTACTTCTAGGACCAGTGGTAGTCACAAATCTTGCAAGTAAAGATGGCCATTAAAATTGGTTCATTTGAGCAGGGTTTAATAAAGGGATTACTACAAAGAAACATTTGTGATGTAGGTAATTCCAAGGAAATTCTGGGAATAAGCCTATTTAATGGTTAATTTTAGGTATCAACTTGACTGGATTAAGGCATACCTAGAGAAATAATAAATCATCATTTTAAGGTATGTCTGTGAGGGTGTTTCCAGAGAAAATTGGCATGTGAAATGGAATGGATTAAATGAGGAAGATCTGCAATTAATGCAGGTTGACACCATCCAATCAACTGGGGGCCCAGAGAGAATAAAAACAGAGGACATGTGAATTGGTTTGTCTCTATTCTGGAGCTGGGATATACTCCTCCTCCTGTCCTTGGATATCAGAACTCCAGGCTGTTTAGCTTTTTAACTCCAGGATTTACACCACAAGCCTCTTGGGTTCTCAGCCCTTTGAACTTGGACTGAACCACACTACTGGAATTCTAGGGTCTCCGGTATATAGTCTGCCTTTTGTCGGACTTCTCAGCCTCCTTAATCACGTGAGCCAATTTTCCTAATAAACCCCCTCTTGTAAACCTCTATGTCTGTCTATCTATCTATCTATCTATCTATCTATCTATCTATCTATCTATCTCTCTATCTCCTATTGGTTCTGTCTCTCTGGAGAACGCTTACTAATACACCCTAGAACTAATAACTTCTGAGCACTGTTACCACCTCTATCCTTAATCATACAAGAAGAGAGAGAGGTTATGGGCACTGAAGAAAGAGTTTTGAAAAAGGGTCACCTGTTAGTAGCTATGGTCTAAGGCCATGGATACACCAGTTGTGCCATGTCTGTAGATAAGGAGCCTGGGGGAAACTCTCTGCCTTCACTGTCCTCCCTGCCATTGATAACCATTGGGTAAAGCTATTAAATAGTAAGCAAAGATCCCACTGATGCAAATTAATACAGGTGAACATCCTGGAGCAAAAAAAGGAGTTTAGAAGGATGGAGAATGGATTTGGAGGGAAAAATGAGATACATCCAACATACAACAGAAATATTAGTAAGGAAGTTCGTATGTGTTTTAATATGCAAATATAAACATATGAATATTAATAACACACATAATATATGTGTATACATATTATAGTTAAGCTTCTGCACAACTCAAGGGAGAATGAGAATAAAAATTATAACTAATTACATTTTTCACAAGGGAATCATAGTCTCCAAAATTTTTCCTCCTTTCTCAGTAATAATCCCCAATTCATCAATACAAAATTTAGTTTAATTGCCTTGTTAGCTATTCTCCAAATTGTGAAACCCTGAGGGGTTTCAGGAATCCGTAACCCTGGGAATTCATACTCTGACATAAAAGAATCTGGGAAAGGCAAACTTAAATTCTATTGAGATGATGGTGTTGCTGAGAATTTTAGGTAAGTTGCTTAATTCAAATGTTAAATGTAGATGGAAAATTTTTCTTCTTCCTCATAACCAGTCCAATAACCATTTACATAGTAATATATGATAAGTGCTAAAGAAAGCTTTTCTTTTTTTCTTGAGACAGAGTCTCACTCTGTTGCCCAGGCTGGAGTGCAGTGGAGGTGCCTTCATGGCTCACTGCAACCTCAATCTCCCAAGATCAAGCAATCTTCCCACCTCAGCTTCTGGAGGAGCATGGACTACAGGTACACCCTATCACATCTGGCTAATTTTTTTTTTTTATTTTTTGTAGAAACAAGATTTCACCTTGTCACCCAGTCTCGTTTTGAACTCCTACACTCAGCCTCCCAAAGTGCTGGGATTGCAGGTGTGAGCCACTGCCCCTGTTTTGAAATATATTCATCATCTTCCTGTTTTAATTTCTAAAACTGCTGGCAGCTCACACACAGAAGTAGAATTTCACACTATTAGATTCAAAAAAAAGAGCAATTAACAACACAGAAAATTGCAAGGGAAGAAAAAAAAACAAATGCACAAACAGGCAACGATTAGGAGCCACTAACAAAAGAGATAGTCTTGTTAATATCTCAAGAGCAAGAATGAGAAGAAAGAATTAAATAGAAGATATTATCAGTCTAACGGCCAAAAGACATCAAGAAAAGCTTAACATGTTGCTTTTAAAGTTTGATATTCTTTAAGAAAGTGTGAAGGCATATGGTAATTTTAAGGAAACCTCTAACAATAGAAGCATATCTCTAAATACAAAAAGTTGTATTTTAATAATTTTGGATGAAGAATGCACTTTTAGCTTTTAATATAAAAATATAATATTAGTTAGGAAGGATAGTATGTTAGCTGGTTAGTACTTCCTGCCAGCTATTATAGTCTTCTTGTTCTGATTAAGAAATACAGATGTTGGCTTGTCAAACCATCCTCTCTACCAGTGTACATAAGTAAGTATCCAGGGAAACACAAAGGAAATGTGTGTTTTACCATTTTTTTGTGTGTGTGTGTGTGTGTGTGTCCCAGGGTGTATTATGAGCATTGTTTTTTCCAGTGAGAAGAATTATATACTTTTCTTAACAGTCTCAGAGGTAGCTGAGCTCAATAAAACTCAATTATCTTTTCTGAGTAATGAACCTCAGAGCAAAATATGTGAACGAAGGGATGGAAGAGTCAAAGGGAAAGAGCATCACCCTGGGCTCCCTAAGAATAGTTAGACCTGTGAACTATTGAGCAAAGGCTACTGGTGATGGGATGGAGAAGAGAATGCTGATAGGAGAAGAAAGTACATCAAACTGTCAGTAGGTGATAATATATAAAAATTTAATACATTGAAATATTTTACATAAAAAAACAATCCATCCCAGCATTTTGGAAGGCTGAAGCAGGCAGATCACTTGAGGTCAGCAGTTTGAGACCAACCTGGCCATCATGGTTAAACCTTGTCTCTACTAAAAATACAAAAAAAGTAGCCGAGTGTGGTGGCACATGCCTGTAATCCCAGCTACTGGGGAGGCTGATGCAGGAGAGTCACTTGAGCCTGGGAGGCAGAGGTCTCAGTGAGCTGCCGAGATCGCACCACTGCACTCCAGACTGGGCAACAGAGCGAGACTCTGTCTCAAAAAAAAAAAAAAAAAAAAGCAATCCATTGCTTTACAACACTGTAACATCATTAGTTACGATAAACTAAGCACATTATTTTTCTACCATCATATGAGGAAATTATTATCCCATTTAATAGATAAGAAATAAAATTAAAGCAATTTAAATGAGTTTTCCAAGGTCCCTATTATAGAAATTGTTGCCATTAGGATTCAAATGTAGATCTGTTTATAGATCATCTTATAAAATTTGTAACTTTAAAATTAAAAAGAATAAAATTTATGACTTTAAAATTAAAAAGAATAAAATTTATAACTTTAAAATTAAAAAGAATAAAATTTATAACTTTATGCAGCAAATCTTTACATTTGTTAATTTCTTTTTTTTTTTTTTTGCCAGCACTGTTCTTTATTGTGCTAGTGTGCCACTGTCTTATTTATTTTTTTTTTAATTATACTTTAAGTTTTAGGGTACATGTGCACATTGTGCAGGTTAGTTACATATGTATACATGTGCAATGCTGGTGCGCTGCACCCACTAACTCGTCATCTAGCATTAGGTATACCTCCCAATGCTATCCCTCCCCCCACCCCACAACAGTCCCCAGAATGTGATATTCCTCTTCCTGTGTCCATGAGATCTCATTGTTCAATTCCCACCTATGAGTGAGAATATGCGGTGTTTGGTTTTTTGTTCTTGCGATAGTTTACTGAGAATGATGATTTCCAATTTCATCCATGTGCCTACAAAGGACATGAACTCATCCTTTTCTATGGCTGCATAGTATTCCATGGTGTATATGTGCCACATTTTCTTAATCCAGTCTATCATTGTTGGACATTTGGGTTGGTTCCAAGTCTTTGCTATTGTGAATAATGCCGCAATAAACATACGTGTGCATGTGTCTTTATAGCAGCATGATTTATAGTCCTTTGGTTATATACCCAGTAATGGGATGGCTGGGTCAAATGGTATTTCTAGTTCTAGATCCCTGAGGAATCGCCACACTGACTTCCACAATGGTTGAACTAGTTTACAGTCCCACCAGCAGTGTAAAAGTGTTCCTATTTCTCCACATCCTCTCCAGCACCTGTTGTTTCCTGACTTTTTAATGATTGCCATTCTAACTGGTGTGAGATGGCATCTCATTGTGGTTTTGATTTGCATTTCTCTGATGGCCAGTGATGATGAGCATTTTTTCATGTGTTTTTTGGCTGCATAAATGTCTTCTTTGGAGAAGTGTCTGTTCATGTCCTTCGCCCACTTTTTGATGGAGTTGTTTGTTTTTTTTCTTGTAAATTTGTTTGAGCTCATTGTAGATTCTGGATATTAGCCCTTTGTCAGATGAGTAGGTTGCAAAAATTTTCTCCCATTTTGTAGGTTGCCTGTTCACTCTGATGGTAGTTTCTTTTGCTGTGCAGAAGCTCTTTAGTTTAATTAGATCCCATTTGTCAATTTTGTCTTTTGTTGCCATTGCTTTTGGTGTTTTAGACATGAAGTCCTTGCCCATGCCTATGTCCTGAATGGTAATGCCTAGGTTTTCTTCTAGGGTTTTTATGGTTTTAGGTCTAACGTTTAAGTCTTTAATCCATCTTGAATTGATTTTTGTGTAAGGTGTAGGGAAGGGATCCAGTTTCAGCTTTCTACATATGGCTAGCCAGTTTTCCCAGCACCATTTATTAAATAGGGAATCCTTTCCCCATTGCTTGTTTTTCTCAGGTTTGTCAAAGATCAGATAGTTGTAAATATGTGGCGTTATTTCTGAGGGCTCTGTTCTGTTCCATTGATCTATATCTCTGTTTTGGTACCGGTACCATGCTGTTTTGGTTACTGTAGCCTTGTAGTATAGTTTGAAGTCAGGTTGCGTGATGCCTCCAGCTTTGTTCTTTTGGCTTAGGATTGACTTGGTGATGCAGGCTCTTTTTTGGTTCCACATGAACTTTCAAGTAGTTTTTTCCAATTCTGTGAAGAAAGGCATTGGTAGCTTGATGGGGATGGCATTGAATCTGTAAATTACCTTGGGCAGTATGGCCATTTTCACAATATTGATTTTGCCTATCCATGAGCATGGAATGTTCTTCCATTTGTTTGTATCCTCTTTTATTTCCTTGAGCAGTGGTTTGTAGTTCTCCTTGAAGAGGTCCTTCACATCCCTTGTAAGTTGGATTCCTAGGTATTTTATTCTCTTTGAAGCAATTGTGAATGGGATTTCACTCATGATTTGGCTCTCTGTTTGTGTGTTGTTGGTGTGTAAGAATGCTTGTGATTTTTGTACATTGATTTTGTATCCTGAGACTTTGCTGAAGTTGCTTATCAGCTTAAGGAGATTTTGGGCTGAGACAATGGGGTTTTCTAGATATACAATCATGTCGTCTGCAAACAGGGACAATTTGACTTCCTCCTTTCCTAATTGAACACCCTTTATTTCCTACTCCTGCCTAATTGCCCTGGCCAGAACTTCCAACACTATGTTCAATAGGAGTGGTGAGAGAGGGCATCCCTGTCTTGTGCCAGTTTTCAAAGGGAATGCTTCCAGTTTTTGCCCATTCAGTATGATATTGGCTGTGGGTTTGTCATAGATAGCTCTTATTATTTTGCGATACATTCCATCAATACCTAATTTATTGAGAGTTTTTAGCATGAAGGGTGGTTGAATTTTGTCAAAGGCTTTTTCTGCATCTATTGAGATAATCATGTGGTTTTTGTCTTTGGCTCTGTTTATATGCTGGATTACATTTATTGATTTGCATATATTGAACCAGCCTTGCATCCCAGGGATGAAGCCCACTTGATCATGGTGGATAAGCTGTTTGATGTGCTGCTGGATTCGTTTTGCCAGTATTTTATTGAGGATTTTTGTATCAATGTTCATCAAGGATATTGGTCTAAAATTCTCTTTTTTGGTTGTGTCTCTGCCAGGCTTTGGTATCAGAATGATGCTGGCCTCATAAAGTGAGTTAGGGAGGATTCCCTCTTTTTCTATTGATTGGAATAGTTTCAGAAGGAATGGTACCAACTCCTCCTTGTACCTCTGGTAGAATTCGGCTGTGAATCCATCTGGTCCTGGACTCTTTTTGGTTGGTAAGATATTGATTATTGCCACAATTTCAGATCCTGTTATTGGTCTATTCAGAGATTCAACTTCTTCCTTGTTTAGTCTTGGGAGAGTGTATGTGACGAGGAATTTATCCATTTCTTCTAGATTTTCTAGTTTATTTGCGTAGAGGTGTTTGTAGTATTCTCTGATGGTAGTTTGTATTTCTGTGGGATCAGTGGTGATATCCCCTTTATCATTTTTTATTGTGTCTATTTGATTCTTCTCTCTTTTTTTCTCTATTAGTCTTGCTAGCAGTCTATCAATTTTGTTGATCCTTTCAAAAAACCAGCTCCTGGATTCATTAATTTTTTGAAGGATTTTTTTGTGTCTCTATTTCCTTCAGTTCTGCTCTGATTTTAGTTATTTCTTGCCTTCTGCTAGCTTTTGAATGTGTTTGCTCTTGCTTTTCTAGTTCTTTTAATTGTGATGTTAGGGTGTCAATTTTGGATCTTTCCTGCTTTCTCTTGTGGGCATTTAGTGCTATAAATTTCCCTCTACATATGCTTTGAATGCGTCCCAGAGATTCTGGTATGTTGTGTGTTTGTTCTCGTTGGTTTCAAAGAACATCTTTATTTCTGTCTTCATTTCGTTATGTACCCAGTAGTCATTCAGGAGCAGGTTGTTCAGTTTCCATGTAGTTGAGCAGTTTTGAGTGAGATTCTTAATCCTGAGTTCTAGTTTGATTGCACTGTGGTCTGAGAGATAGTTTGTTATAATTGCAGAAATACTTTTTATGCAAGGTTGTGATGGACTTGGTGCAAGCCTGTTATTTTTTGCAGAATCTTTTGTGATGGTTTTGTTCTCAGGCATACAATCTTGAGAACCCTCTCTTCATGCTTTCCCCAGCTCGCTTTGTGAGTTTTTTTTTTTTTTATATTAGTGACTCCATTTTGATTCTGACAACTTTCATATTTTCTCCCTTTTGATCAAGACTTTCTCCAAAGGCATCACTGAACAATAATCATGTAGCTAGATTTTGATATCCCTTCGTGCTGGAATGGACCTATGCCTGGGCTGGTCTCATCCCACCTTAGGGGGAGAGTTTGGTGACTAGCAGTCAGTGTTAAAACCTCTTTAGCCACACTGAGCAACAAGGGAAGTTTGAAGGGAGTGGGACACAGACTGAGTCTACCTGGAGTTTATTATTAAGTTGAATTTTCTCTGTTCTGTAGTCTTTTGCAACCATACCAAAGTGCTGGGCCAACATTATATCCTTAGGAGTTGTACTTCCACACATATTTAAGAAGTAACAGCTACAAAGTTTAAAAAAGGAAAATACAAAGTAAAATTAATAGTAATATCACAATTCCAGTTTATATAATAGTTTTCAGTCATAAACCCAGGCTTAAAGGCAACCAACTGAATAAAGCAAATGACATTAGAGAATTAGGTGAGATCTGTTGTAATCAGATGGCCTGTTTTCTTATTTTGCATATGTGGGTCCCAACTTCCCCGGAGGAGTTTATCCAAGTACATAATGTAATATTAGCAATAGCACAGACATTTTCTTATTTAACCAGTGGATAATAAATAATTTCTTGTATTAGGTTTTGTTAAGATACCAGCATAAACTACTGATTGTAAAACTTTAATTACACTATTATTTCGCCAAGTAAGAAAGGTAGCATTAAGAGGAGTAAGAGTCTTATTATGACATGGAGTCATTCTGATTTCTTTAGGAAAGCTGTATACAGTGACCAAAAAAAAAAAAAAATGTGAATTTCTCCTCCTGGTTAGAATGTCTCTGGTCATGACATCATGTAGCTTGGTAAACTTTTTGGGTGGCCCACACATCAGACACAATTCTTGTCCCTTAAAATTCATCTCATTTCAGCTTATAAGGCTTTAGGAAAAAATCAGGTTTTGTTGTTAATTGTAGCCAAATATTGGAGGAGAATTCAGGTTCTAATCCTGTCTATAGATACGTAATAAGAACTTAAAAGTAATGCACAGAACCACAATCTAATAACAAGTGTATTATAATTTTCTTTAGAAACAATTTTTCTCTATACATTCAGGATCTAATCTAGTTAACAGGTGGATAACAAGAACTTGAAAGCAATGCATATGACTATAATCTAATGTTTATTATAGCTTTTTTTTTTAGAATCATAATGTTTTCTTTCTGTATTGATGACATAAAAATCTCCAAGTTGAAACCTTATTGAGGCTAGGAAGCCAAACCAAGGTAGGCTTTACATTTTACTTCCATTCTTAAGGTTCCTAGGCCTGCCAGGAAGTGACAATTATTATTTATTTACTGTAAGGATGAAAACCCTATGAGGCCAAGCATTTAAAGTTCATTCTCAAATATTTTACTTTAGTCAAAACCTTGACAATATAACCAATGTTTCCAATTTTATTCTCTTAAAAAGAGGAAACAAAATTTTATTGAATGTATGTTAACAATCCTATTGTTATAAAGCAATAAGTATACTCATGAATAGTTTCCAAATATTGGAGGAATCAAGTACGGAGAAAAATCAAATGCTTCCACCTTTGTTCACAAAAATATACTTTACCGAATTGTTACAAACTATAGATAGTGTATGAAAGAAAATGTCCTTAAACCCAGAAAACAAATTGTTTAAGTAAAGAATCAACAATTATTTAAATAAGTTCTGAAAACATTACCATCGATTATTTAATTTTATATAATTAATTTTTTGTTTTGCTTCATCTTGATTAACTGCTTCATGAACTCATCCGTTTCTTTGTTAGAGCTCTGAACATTTTGATTTTTGTCTTTCAATCATAAGGGTATCAGAAATCTATGTTCAAGAGTACTCGTTATAGTCTTTTCCATGAAAAGCAATATAGGTGACTACAAATGATTTTACAGAAGATTCAAAACAACTGTGGATGACAAAAACTTAGAATATCCATGGTTAAAAATGTAATGAGAATTCACAATTGACAAGGGATTTTAATTTAGTTATTTGTATTTATGTACTTTTTTTTTTTTTTTGAGACGGAGTTTTGCTCTTGTTGCCCAGCCTGGAGTGCAATGGCATGATATCCCCTCATTGCAACCTCTGCCTCCCGGGTTCAAGCGATTCTCCTGCCTCAGCCTCCTGAGTAGGTAGGATTACAAGCATGGGCCACCATGCCAGGCTAATTTTTTTGTATTTTTAGTAGAGACGGGGTTTCTCCATGTTGGTCAGGCTGGTCTTGAACTCCCAACCTCAGGTGATCCGCCCACCTCGGCCTCCCAAAGTGGTGGGATTACAGGCGTGAGCCACTGCGCCCAGCCTATTTATGTACATTTTAAGATGACAACAAGAACCATAACTGATAGCATCACATCAGAACTCGTAGACTTTTATAAATTTTATATAATCTTTAGAACACTCACATTAATAACATATCACACACACATAACTTTAGAAAAGATTTAACATAACAAACAAAATTATGACTCATAACATTAAATGTAGCATGTATATAATTTTTGAAAAAATTAGACAATAATATATCTATAAATGTAACTGAAAGAAAATCTAGTATCATTTATCATTTGACAGTTCTTTAATTTACCAAATAAGCCTAATCATTTAATATTTCTACAAAATGAGAGATACATTCTTTAAGTCTCTCCAAGGACTTAACTGAAAATCTCTAAGTTAATTCTAGGTCAAAAGATTTAATTTAGGATTTTGACCTGAGGGAAGCCTACCAGATGTCAAAGGTTCAAAAGACTTGATCAAAACAGAATCACAGGTCTCTGTAAAATATCAGTCATTAACCAGAGTAATAATCAAAAGACTTCAAAATAAATGCAGAAAGTTACATGGGTGTAAGAACCTTAACCCTGTTAAAGCTCAGTTTTTCTAAGTAATCAAAAATTTAATAAAGACAACACAGGAAATTATCTTTATAAAATTTTAAATCTTTATTTTTTATAAAGCCAGTTATTAAAAAGGTAAAGATAAACGTACTGCAGTTTCATTGTTTTTCCTTAAGGGAAGCTCATTTAGATAACCTGGAAGTCAAACCTGATGAAAAGGGCACCTGAATTTAACCAGACACAGGAGGAGTGTGTCCAGGTTGTAAGGTTATGCTATATTATAGAGGAATGTAAACAAGAAAACTAATATCTTGAACAGAGGAATACCTGGCTCTTAGTAACAACGTGGAAAGTTTCCTGGTCACAATTCACACACAGCAAGAAAAACCTAAAGTATAAAATCAAATTATACTGAGGGAAAACATTGGTTTTCTAGGCCTTTAAGATAAGTATTTCAGCATCAGGCTATAACAGTGTTAGAACCAGGAAGAAAAAGAGTTGATGAAAAGGTTGAAAGAAAGAGCTATCACTCCAGCCAAGCAAAAAAACAAACAACAACAACAACAACAACAAACCCACACATTTTTAAGGGAAGAAAGAGAGCTGAAGACAATGATTCAGGACCTGCCAATTATATGCAGCAAGATACAGCAAAAGTTAAACTTCTGAGACATAAATCTGAAATGTTTCCAGAAAAAATTTACCTCCAAAAATAAAAGTACAATTCTGGATGAAAAAGACAGCATTTCAAAACTAAAACTAGAGAAATTAAATAGATCTCAGGAAGAAATATGGCAGAAATAGAAATTGTCTGTAGTTTAGAATATCACCATTAAGAAAAACATGTTTCAGAATTAAAAATCAAAAATTTTTGCAGTCTTACTAAGAGCAAATCAATATATTAAGAAAATCTTTTTCTAATATAGGGGACCAAATTTTTTAGTTTAATGTTAGTATATTTTCAATGTTAAGTCTCATTTTATAGACAGTCATAATTTTTTTTAAATTATAGCCAACTTGATCACATACAAAATTTCTTTTATAAATTCCCCCTTTCACAAACACCATACCTACTCAGACCATTTACAGCATGCTTAAACTTTCTGTTATGTCTTATACTTAATCTTTCTTAAATAACCAGTCATTTTACTTTAGAACAAAAAGTTACCACAAAATATTTTTTCTCATACAAAATTATCTTCTTTTCAACTTGTTTTGCAAAAATATATTTTCATACCCATAACTTTTTTCCTATCTCTGTCTCTCTCCTACTTACTGGTACTTTTCCATCACATTGTAGCCTATTGTTTTATACTTGTTAAATTTATATTTTGCAAAAAAAACCTTTAAGTAACTCTAAATTATGCAAAATTATTCTTTTTTTCTTGATAAAGAATATGCTTTTATGCCTTTCTTATAATTTTTTATTAAAACACGTCTTACTTTTTTGAGAGAATTTATATTATAGTTCTAGAGGTATTAATTAGTATTTTTAATTTAATAACCTTAAATTTAGTGAAAACCTAGGAAGCCAGAAATCTTGAATTATCTGTCATATCAGTATTTTATATATGAAAATCTTTATAATTTTTAAAAACATGTTTTTCTATAACAGAATTTTACGTATATTCATGGAACCAAATCTATTTAGTCTTTCTATATTATTTTAGAATCCAAGAAAAGAAACTTATATTTATGGTCAGAATTTTGTTTTATGATATTATTTGGAAATGACTCAGACATTTAATGAATATCATTTAAATCAATATAATATAACTTTAAGATTTCAAATTACATGAAAACTATATTTACAGACATTTACCTCATTTCTATTATCTAATTTATTCAATTTTTTACAGTTTACATAGATTAGTTATGAAAATTGAGATATGAAATAAAGCTAATCATCATTTCTAGTTATTTTCCTATTTGTATAACTTATGAATATCAGGCATGCACCTAAGTAGAAATCTTAAATTATATGAATATTTTGCTTATAACTTAGAAGATATAGCTATTTTTACTAAACAAACATTATTAAACTAGCCTTAATTATCAAAGAGTTGACAAAGATTATTCTGTTTTAGGCTGAGTTTATAGTTTTATAACCTTTGGGTCAAACCCCAACACCCTAAAACATCTAGCAAAGACAAATATAAAATTCTACCAGTACACCTGGGCAAAAACATATGTTGACAATTTCCTGATAATTTTAAAACCAGCTTATTTATTAAAGACGTACTTAAGTCACATGAACTAAAAAGCATTTGGGTTATTATACATTTTTTATGAGTGCTCATTTATCTAAGATATGTGAATAGAATTCCTTAAGAAATTTTTTGCCGCAGGGCACAGTGGCTCACACCTGTAATCCTAGAACTTTGGGAGGCCAAGGAAGGCAGATCACGAGGTCAGGAGTTCAAGACCCAGCCTGACCAATTGGCATGGTGAACCCCCATCTCTACTAAAAATACAAAAATTAACCAGGAGTGGTGGCGGCACGTGCCTGTAATCCCAGGAGGGTTACTCAGGAGGCTGAGACAGGAGAATCGCTTAAACCCAGGAGGCAGAGGTTGCAGTGAGCTGAGATAGTGCCACTGCAGTCCAGTCTGGGTGACAGAGTAAGACTCCATCTCAAAAAATAAAAATAAAAATAAGAAATTTTTTGCCAACTATGCCAGATTTTACCATGTAGAAACAACGTGCCACATAATACATGTTCATACACATATACGCACCTAAACACATATATGCACACACAAAGATGTGATAACTTTCCTCAATATGTAATCTAATGAAGGCTGCAGACCAAAATTTGGGTGAAGCAATTTATATAGTAGCTTGGGTTTTATTGTTGTTTGTTGGTTTGTTTGTTTTTCTTAGCCTCTTTAACATTTATATTTTATTTATTCAGTCTCAAATGAGTTTAGAGTTAAATTTTCAATTGTTTACATTGTAGCTAGGACTGGTTGAATTGTATTATAAAAACAAAATCTCCAGTGTTGAACTAGTAACAAATCTATCTTTTTTTATTTTATTTTAATTTTTTTTGCAGGTCTGTTTTGCTTGATTAACAAATGGAGACAAGAAAGAATTTTAGCAGGATTTGTTGTTTTTTTCGCAGGGGCTGGGGGGTTAGTCTTTGTGTGGCAGAAAAAGCAAATTTTTTATGCCAGACAAAGATGATTTATATTGTTTAGAGTTCAAGATTTTGACCTGTTAGACCTGAGAGCCTAACATTTATACATATTTATCTAGCTCTTTTTATAGATTATTAATTTTTCAATAAATTATTTCATCACCATAAACAAATTTTAGTCAGGTAAACCTAAATTTACATTTTCTAATGGTGTCTAGGTTGTTGGTTACCATGGAGCTCTTGTAATTTGTGAAGCTATTAATTTAAAAGCCCTTTAATACTTTTAAAAAAGTCTTGACTAGAATGCCACAAGCGGTGAGTTTTATGTCAACCCCAGTAGAAAAGTCAGCAGATTCAAAGTAGGCAGTAAGAAAAAACAAGAAAGAGAGACAGTGAACTTAGAAGTCTCTACATGCTTAGCATGGTAGTTGCAGATCTCTAAAAGAGTTTAAATAATGAACATTTGAGCTCTGAATTTTTCTTGATGTAACATTGCTTGTCAATTTTAAAATGTGCATAAGCATGAGCCATAAAATGTGGCTAGCTGGAGTCCCAAAAACCTGTCATGCCTTTATGTTTAAAAAACCCATTCTGTTTCTTACTCATCTCTTGAGAGCAAAGAAAATATTATCATTCCTATCAGGAAATGTCAGGAGTTTAGAGCAGTGTTTTAGATGGTAGCAATTGCACTAATGGCTTTTAATTAACCTTTCTGCACCCAACATTTGGAATATATTTTTGCTTTCAGAATAATTTTTTAAAAAGCAAGGGAAAAGAATCAAACCAAATCAAAAGAAACCAAGATAAGAGCATTCATAAAAATTTCAACCTCGGCGTAGAGATCAAACAAAATATTCAACTAAGCACAGAGACCAAAAGTGAATTCACCGCAAAAGACATGCCTTCTAGATAGAATGTAAATTCTGTAGAACCAGAGTACTCAATCCAGAAAGACACATGTCTTTACACCAGAAAAGATATACCACAAAAGACAAAAAGTATTTTATCACCCCAGGAGGGATGCATAGTCCCTTATTAGGTGACTTTATAAAAAAAAAAAAGATCCTGACTAATATAAAAAAGCCTCTACTAAAAGAGGCAGGCTCAGCCTAAGAGAAGACTCATCAGGGCAGAAAAGTGAGCCAAGGAAGTGGAGGAAAGCACAAGGGCCTCAAGTGAGCACTGCACATCAGTTCAAGAATCACCAGTTTCTTTGGATCATTATCTTTTTCGGGTTCTATTTGTGACACCATATATGTCAACCTAAATAACAAACACAGAGAGGCTATCTAAAAGAAAAATAGGTTTATCTGAGAATAGAGTGTTGCTGTGGGAATACAAATGCCACAGTAAACCGTATGCATATTCGGGGAGGTAATGGAAGACAAAGATTTTTTTAAAAATGAGAATTATGTGATTATTTTGAAATAATAATCTTTGGCTACATAGATTGATGACAAGGGTGATACCTGTTTTTTGTTGTTGTTGTTGTTGTTTTGTTGTTTGTTGGTTTTGCTGAAACATGCAGAGAATTTTTATTTATCACAAATGTTAATACTTATATTTACTTGCAGAACAGAGTCACAGAGAGATATGCAGGCAAGGTATTAGTGGGGTTCAAGGGTTTCGCACAACATTTAGTACACAGTAGGTTGCTCACTAAGGACTTGTCATATTTTGCTCAAATGCCAACTTTTGGTACCTTAGCTTGTCAATTAGTCATTTCTTATATAGATGATTTTTTGGATAATTGTCATACTACATTTTTACCAATTAAGGATTTCAGTCCATTTTTTATTATTTTTTTCAATCATAATTCAAGGTCAGGAAGTAGGAGCCCCATCCCCGCTCCCTTCCAGACAACAGAATAGTATTCTTACTAGGAGTTCCTAAGACCTAGCAATTCCAGCATGCGAATTGTGAGAGGACATAGCCAGGAAGATGAGAAACTGTAGCCATCATCCAGGGGTAATATATTCCATCTCTGTTGCTCCTTGCAGCCTGCAGGTCCTCTTCAGTGTCCTCTCCATTAAACCCATTAACATGTAGGATCCTCATCTGCTTCACATTGGTGCCTTTACCAGATTCTCCAGCACCCAGGAGTAGCAGGCGGTCCATGGCACGGTCGATGCTTGGCTGGACAGGCAGTTTCTGGGCAGGTGTCCTTGCAGAAGTACTCTTTTTCTGTAAAGTTGTGATGACCTTTGTGCAAGGTGTAGTTTTTGCAGTCTTTTATGATAGTTTTATCAGGAATACAAGCATGAGAAACCTCTCTTAATTCCCTCCGCTGGCTCTTTTTAAATTATTTTTTATGTATGTATGTATTTATTAATTATAGAGACATGGTCCCACCGTGTTGCCCACACTGTTTATGAACTCCTGGGCTGCAGAGACCCTCCTGCCTCAGCCTCCCAAAGTTCTGGGATTAAAGGCATGAACCACCATGCCCAGCCATATTTGTCACTTGTTTTTATTTAACACTAGTGACTTCATTTTGATTCCGGAAACTTTTATAAATGCAACCGATATTCATTTTAGTATTTCTCAACATAATCTACAAACAACCCACATTACAAGCGCTTGGGCTGCTTTAATGAAAGCAGATTCCTGGGGGCTGACCTGCAACCTCCTAAGTTAGAAACACTGGGGCGCTCTTAGGTGCAAAGAATTTGAGAACAATTTGTTACTTGAGTGTTTATAACATGCTAGGCACTGTATGTAGTCCTTACTTGAGTAAACTCCTTTAAACAACCCTAAAAAGAGATGAATTATCCCTATGTTACATATGAAGAAATTGAGGCTTTACATTGTTGACTAGTGATGGAGAACTTGAATCCTTCTTAGTTGTTGAAAGACAAATGCTTTTTCAAGGATATCCCATCTGTCTCTAGTGTGAGCAGTCAGCTCTGATTTCTTAGGCATGCTTCCTAAACGTCATGACATATAATGACAGGCAATCTGTTGCTCAGATGAAAAACAATTTCTTCACAGACACTCCTTTTGGGAAAACAAATATTTGTTTAGGCTGACTATATTGTGGACTGATTTCTTTGTTTGTCCCTGCATCTGTCTGCAAAATACACAAATGACCTGGGATTGCTGGTGCTGGGAAATGAATGTGGAATACCAAACAATTCTGTAGTGGTTTTAGGGTATAATGACATCATTAGAGGACACCCAGAATATCAATTCTCTTGACTTGTTTGTCTTCTGAGTCGGGGTTACCCATTTGTTTATTCCATAAATATTTATTGTACATCTATTATGTGCCAGGTACTATTCTAAGAAGTGGAGATATGTAACATGCAACAGAAACAAAAATCCTTGCTCTACACTATGGGCTTCTATCTCCGCTTTACCCCAGTGACCCAGTAAAAAAAAGTAAATAGAGAGCTGTACGTACTGCCACAGGTAATTTGACCATTTAGCAACATTTTCCAGTTATTTTGCATTTCTTTACACAATTCCTGGAAAAGCCTATGAAGATGCATAAAGTAAAATGCAAAGTTTTGAAGTAGTGGAGTCTCAATAAATGAAAACATCCTTTAAAGAGTGGTTCTTTCTTTATTTTATATTCAATATGTTTTATTCAATTATGGTCATTATACTTTTAATATGAAATTGTCTAAAATGCACCCAGTGGAAACTTCTTCAAGCTAGCTTCTGGGTCATTTAAACATGTCCCTATAATTTTTGAATATTTTCTTAGTTTCTGCCACAAGATGTCCCAGACTCATCTTATGCAATCCTTGACCAAAACTTGGGAGTTTCAAGGAGTTCTGGGTCCTTCCAGTGGAAAAATGGTATTTAGTTACCAAAACTTGTGTTTTGTGTGTGCTTATAGCTGCTGGGTTTTCTTTTCCTTTCTTTTTTTTTCTTTATTTTACTTTAAGTTCTGGGATACATGTGCAGAACGTGCAGGTTTGTCTTACCTAGGAATACATGTGCCGTGGTGGTTTGCTGCACCTATCAACCCGTCATCTAGGTTTTAAGCCCCACATGCATTAGGTATTTGTCCTAATGCTCTCCCTCCCCTTGCCCTCCAACCCCCAACAGGCCCCAGTGTGTGATGTTCCCCTTTCTGTGTCCATGTGTTCTCGTTGTTCAACTCCCACTTATGAGTGAGAACATGTGGTGTTTGATTTTCTCTTCCTGTGTTAGTCTACCAACAATGATGGCTTCCAGCTTCATCCATGTCCCTGCAAAGAACATGAGCTCATTCTTTTTTATGGATACATAGTATTCCATGGTGTATATGTGTCACATTTGCTTTATCCAGTCTATCATTGAAGGGCATTTCTTAAGTGTGTGGTTGGATTTATTATTATCACAAAGATAAGAGGACTACTGGATATTTAGTATTTAGTAGACAAGTATGAACACATCCTGCATCCATAGGGACAGCCTTATGCAAAGAAAAATGTTGCACTCACTACATCCAGACTCCCAATGCGTATTTGTGCATTAGAAAATATTGTTATAATTACATCAGTTTGAAATCTACTCTGCTCTACAGACAAAGAAAACATATTTTGCAAGGTTCTCCTATATAACAATTTAATAAAACCAAGGAAAGATTGTCATTTATTTTGTTTGAAACTTCATCAAGACTTGACCAACTTGTCAGGAAAACATCACCAATGTCAATGTGACTCCTGATATTTGAGTCACCAACACATTAATGATGATTCTACGTGTGTTGATTTTACTATCTATGTCCCACCAAGTGATCCAGCATTTATATATTGAATATTCAAATTATTTTATAATAAATCCTATATTATAATTATTTCATATAATAATTGTATTATGAATTATTTTTCTTTCATATCTCTTTTACATTAGACTTAGGATAGTTTACATACACATATATACATGTTTATACTTAGGTTACATTAACTACACATATTATTTCAAGAATCTAAAGGAAGCATTTCTAAATGTTTGTTTGACAAGAAGATTTTTCCAATGTGATAGCATTCAGAACTATTGCTATAGACAATATCGACTTGGGCTAACTGTCCTTTTAAGTACTATGTTCATGGCTAGTTATAGAGGCTGAGAGATAATGCTGAGTCTCAACATTTTATACCCCAAATACCCATAAAAACATCACACATTTTTTACTTGGCAGAAACAGATAAATTCATTGGTCTTTACCTGAGCTTCGCACTAATTCTCAACCTGATTCCTTCCCTGGAATTTATGATAAATGTACCAAAGACTCCTACAGAGTAACTAAGCAGATAATTTTTTCTGTGGTTGTGGAAAAATACAGTGTTACCACCTTCTAAACCATAGGGTCCTTCCCAGTTTTCATAGGCTCTGAATAATTTGTCCATCCATAGCTGGGAACAGGAAAAGGATTTTTTTTTTCTCTCAGTGTCTACATTAGTTGAGCTCTTTCCTAGTTTGTTTTTATCCCATCATCTAGTTTTATTTTGTTATTAGCATTTAACATTAATTGACACTGTACCTATTTGTTTTTTTATGTAACTCTCCCTTCTAGAATAAAAGCTCAGTAGGATAGGAGTCAGCCCTATCATCTTCACCGCTATATCCCACTGTCTGGAATAGCACACAGGGCTCAATAAATATTTTGTTTTTCAAGAAAAAATTAATAAACATTTCAATTAAGGCTTTTCTGTTATCAAATGCATTTTATTGCAATAAATATATTGAAGCTCAGAAAACTCCCATCACCTGCCCAAGGCAGCCAAAATTTATGCTTAGTGTTGATTATATGTCAGGTGCTTAGCATAGAAAATGCCATCATTTGGTATCGGTTGAGGCAATTAAACTCTTTTCTACTCTATTTGTAGGCGTGGTATCCATAAGCCATGCAGAGGAGCAATCACACAGTGACTGAGTTCATCCTGCTGGGCTTCACCACAGATCCAGGGATGCAACTGGGCCTCTTTGTGGTGTTCCTGGGTGTGTACTGTCTGACTGTGGTAGGAAGTAGCACCCTCATCGTGTTGATCTGTAATGACTCCCACCTACACACACCCATGTATTTTGTCATTGGAAATCTGTCATTTCTGGATCTCTGGTATTCTTCTGTCTACACCCCAAAGATCCTAGTGACCTGCATCTCTGAAGACAAAAGCATCTCCTTTGCTGGCTGCCTGTGTCAGTTCTTCTCTGCCAGGCTGGCCTATAGTGAGTGCTACCTACTGGCTGCCATGGCTTATGACCACTACGTGGCCATCTCCAAGCCCCTGCTTTATGCTCAGACCATGCCAAGGAGATTGTGCATCTGTTTGGTTTTATATTCCTATACTGGGGGTTTTGTCAATGCAATAATATTAACCAGCAACACATTCACATTGGATTTTTGTGGTGACAATGTCATTGATGACTTTTTCTGTGATGTCCCACCCCTCGTGAAGCTGGCATGCAGTGTGAGAGCTACCAGGCTGTGCTGCACTTCCTTCTGGCCTCCAATGTCATCTCCCCTACTGTGCTCATCCTTGCCTCTTACCTCTCCATCATCACCACCATCCTGAGGATCCACTCTACCCAGGGCCGCATCAAAGTCTTCTCCACATGCTCCTCCCACCTGATCTCCGTTACCTTATACTATGGCTCCATTCTCTACAACTACTCCCGGCCAAGTTCCAGCTACTCCCTCAAGAGGGACAAAATGGTTTCTACCTTTTATACTATGCTGTTCCCCATGTTGAATCCCATGATCTACAGTCTGAGGAATAAAGACATGAAAGACGCTCTGAAAAAATTCTTCAAGTCAGCATAATCCAAAGTCTGAATTGCCATAATGTTCTCAAATCAATGCTAAGTGATGACAAACTGCTCAGAGAGGTTACAGAACTGGATTTTTATTTCTTTTTTACCATTGAACAAAATTCAACAAGAAAAATTGTGTTTCTTTGTGTTTCGTTTGTTTGTTATGATTTTGAGATCAGACTATAATATATACTACAGTATTGTAGATTCAATTGAATACTGATACAGTTTTTAAAATTCAGTATCTCCGATTAATGCAAAATGGAAAAGTAATTATTCTGATATCCTAAAGTGAAATTAAATTTTTACGATGTTCTTTCCCATAATATTGACCCAATTATTTTTCCTACATAGTGACTATTATGGAGATGAAAAGAAAACATAATATGGATCATTGATATTTGCGGGATACACCCCAAATCCTTCTAGTCAAGTACTCAAACAGCTTCCTTTGTGATAGAGGAATAAGAATGTTAAGATTATTTTGATGGAAAGAGGTAGGATGTGTTGGAAAATAAATGCAGCTGAAGAGAAAGTTGAGAAATGTCAAGTAAAGACAAATGAAATGGCTACAACTATTTGTCCTAAATTTTCAAAATTTAATTAATTTTTTAAATGTGCTAATTCCAGCAAATGTTATAACCTTTCCTCAACAAAGTTGCTAACCTCTGAGCTGCAAGCTTGTGATTTGAAAATTGTAACCATTAATCCTTAACTTGCCATCTTCTAAAGGCTACTAAATGAAATATCAACCCAACCTGCCATCACAAGGGGGTTCAGTTATGGAGTTTATATCAGGGTTTAGGGAATTGGGCTCGAGGCCAAGGCTAGTTTCCATGTGGTTAGCAACATGTTTGATTTTTCAGGGTTTCAGGCATCGATCTAAACAAGTTTACCAGTTCTTAGGAATGTTCAAGGCCCAGGCTAGGTTCAGGCCAGGGACAAACATGCAGCTTATGTCTTTTGGTCAGGACAAAGGAAAGAGAAAGGTAACTAGGGAACAGTGGTTACTATTGTTGTTCATTTGTTTTATTTCGTTTGATGTTGTCACATCGCTGTGTGACCTGAGAGAGAGTACTGCGGAGTACTCACTCCTTGTAAGAGAGAAGACTGTTAGGATGATATGCAATTCTAAAGACACATATTTATTCATTAATTTTGAGATAGTTTTTTGTTGTCATTGTTGTTTGTAATCTGAACAACTCTTAAACATCTTCCTAATATTCTCTTTATGTAGAAGGCATGAGTTTTACAAAGATACTCCCTATATGCTCAATTAGAGCTTTCTGAAGAAATTTTGAGGAAATGATTTTCTTAAAATAAATATTTGTAAAATCTTGAGCATATTTCCAGAAGCCTCACCCTTTCAGATATTCTTGTCACCTAGTAAAGATTGCTTACCAAACTTCAAAGTCAAACTATATTCATTAACCCACGTAATTTATTTTGTTCCCCAAGATCTCCCAAAGGGAGCAAACACAATGAAATCTATGAAAGATTTAATGCTGCCAAGGCAAAATACCATATTGCAGAATGCCAAACAACCCAATATTATAAGTTTTAAATATTACTTTGTTTTGTTTACATCATAACAAACGAATAACAAGGAGTCATGTGGTCAATATTTTAATGTTTTAAATATGACTTATTGAACTTAATTGAACTACAGAAATGCAAATGAACACATTTATAAGCCAATAATCTGGAAAATTCAATAACAGCATTTGCAAAGAGAATAACCTTCATGTTTGTGGTTGTATAGTCTGTGTTGCTTTCCTGAAGGCCTCTTTGATATCTTTGTTTCTCAGGCTATAGATGAGAGGGTTGAGCAGTGGGTTGATCACGGTGTAGAACAGAGCAGCTACTTTGTCCCTCTCTAGGGAGTAGGTGGAACTAGGCCTTGAATACATAAACAACAATGATCCATAGAAGAGCATGACTGAGATGAGGTGGGAAGCACAGGTGGAGAATGCCTTGTGTCTTCCTGAAGCTGAGTGGATTCTCAGGATAGCCAGGAGGATGTTGACATAGGAAATCAGGATAGCAAGAATGCTGGAGAGTACTGTGAAGCCCACCACACCAAGCAGGACTTTTTCGTAGACCCTGGTGTTTGTACAGGACATTTTTACCAATGGTGGTGCATCACAGAAAAAGTGGTCAATGATATTTTTACCACAAAAATGCAGGCGGAATGTATTGGCAGTATGGGCTATGGCATTCAAAAATCCTCCTATGTAGGAGCCAGCAACAAGCCCAGTACAGAGGGCGGTGGACATGGTACCTGAATAAAGCAATGGGTTACAAATTGCTGCATGGCGGTCATATGCCATGGCTGCCAGGAGATAGCATTCAGTGTAGGCTACAACACAGGAAAAAAACAGCTGAGCCCCACATCCAGCCAAGGAAATGCGCTTATCTTCTGAGACACAACTGGCCAGGATTTTGGGGGTATACACAGAGGTATACCAGAAATCCAAAAAAGACAGATTGCCAATGAAAAAGTACATAGGTGTATGCAAGTGGGAATCAGTTCGGATTAAGATAACCAAGGTCATGTTTCCTGACAAGGTTATCAAATAGAGCATCAGAAACACTCCAAATAGAATCGGCTGCCACTGGGAATCTGCTGAGAAACCCAACAAGATGAATTCAGTCAGGATGGTGCAATTTCCCACTTCCATGTCCACGGAGGTGAAAGCCTGACTATCATGAGAAGGGAAAATCATCACTTAGTGTTTTTTCTATTCACACAAGTTGACAAGGGTATCAATTAAATCAACAATTACTAAGAAGCTTGTAGATTTTTCTCCCTTACTATCTAGAATTATAGGACTTCAGTCCATGATTTGGAAAAATTACTGGAATTGGAGTCAAAAATAATTTGAAAATTAGGAATTTTATTTATTAACTATTTAATGCAGGACAAGACCCATATTCTCATCAAACATGAAAAAAAAATGAAACTCACAAGGATAACTAATTACTTCTTCTTTTTTTTTTGAGATGGAATCTCACTCTGTCACCCATGCTGGAATACAGTGGCGTGATCTCCATTCACTGCAACTTCTGCCTCCTAGGTTCAAGCAATTCTCCTGCCTCAGCCTCCTGAGTAGCTGGGATTACGGGCACCTACCACCACACCAACTCTACTAAAAATGGTGTTTTACCATGTTGGCCATGCTCGTCTCAAACTCCTGACCTTAGGTGATCCACCCGCCTCAGCCTCCCAAAGTGCTGGGATTACAGGCGTGAGCCATCGCACCTGGCCGACTAGTAACTTCTTGACAGACTGTCTGATTGAATAAATAAAACATACATAAAAATAACACAGCCCAATATTGGGTACATTAGTGGGCACTCAAAAAATTTCACTATCTTTCTATAAGTTATTGAAAACTTCTTACGTGTCAAGTATTTGTATTGTTAAGTATTAGATTATTAAAGTTGCTATTTATATTACAAATATAAATACATTATGACCATGTACCAGTTACTATTCTAAGTCTTATACCTAACCCCTTGAGTCTTGGATGGCTTGGTGGTTTGCTTTGGCCAATAGATTGAAAGATAGGCAGCTCCATGTGGATTCAAAGCCTGGATTTCAAGAAGCTTTTTATGTTTCTCTTCTCACTTTTAAAATCCTACCACCACCATGTAAATAAGCCTGGGTTAGTTTGCTGGATAAGACATCTGGCTGCGCTCACTCTGTCACCCCAGCTGACTGCAAGTTGTCCCCCAAACATGCAGGTGGGGCCCTTCTATATGATCCAGCCTACAGTGGCGCTAAGAGCTACCCACAGACATGAGCACGCCCAGGTGAGAAAAGACAGGTCTGGCATAGGCAGAATTGCCCAAGTGATATGGCATCTGAGTTCAAACCCAGACCTTCTTACTTGGTAGTTCCATAATCTTGGAAAAGTATCTTAACAATTCCCCACCTACGTGTATTTACCTCCAAAAGGGCGAGAAAACATCCATGTTAAGAAAACAGCCCATTTTCTGGACAGAACATCAATCTACAAAATTTTAACTATCATTATTCTGAATGGGAGGATAATTATCTAACTTAATTATAAATTCTGAGCTTGCAAAACATAAATAAATAGACTAAGTTTATACAAATAAGCAATTTCAGCCAGAATAGTGGTATCGTCCAGTATCTTGCTAAAATCCTAGAATTTAATATTTTTGTCAACTATTTCCATGTAACTTGGCAAAGGAGTTATAGGGTTTAGGATTGTGGGGTCCAATATTTGGTACATATCCCTGACACTAATCACTGTATGATTTAGGAAAGTAATACCTCATCTCAGGAACACAATTCACCCATCTGAAAATTTTGGTTGATCCTATTCTCAGCACCAAACTTCCATGATTCCAATTTGCTAAAATCTCTTATAGAAATTGTTACGTGCCAGGTGCGGTGGCTCACACCTGTAATCCCAGCACTTTAGGAGGCTGAGGCAGGAGGATCACTCAAGGCCAGGAGTTCAGAACCAGCCTGACCAACATAGCAAAATCCTGTCTCTACTAAAAATCAGCCAGGCGTGGTGGTACACGGCTGTAATCCCAGCTACTTGGGAGGCTGAGGCAGGAGAATCGCTTGAACCCAGGAGGCAGAGGTTGCAGTGAGCTGAGATTGCACCATTGCACTCCAGCAAGGGTGACAGAGAGATACGCTGTCTCAAAACAAAAAAAAAAAAAGAAGGAAAAACTTTCATGAAACAATAGATAGCCTCACTTGTTGCAATACAGTGTGGCAGAGCAGATTAACAGTCCTTACATACACACGTATCTTGGGATACACAGGACATTACCACTGTCTTGGTTGAAGTGAGAAATAAAATTTGCTGAAGACAACTGCACCCTTCTTTTCATCTCAAGATTTGCATACACATTCTTGTGTCCTTAAAATACAATCCTATGGGCCGGGCGCGGTGGCTCACGCCTGTAATCCCAGCACTTTGGGAGGCCGAGGCGGGCGGATCACAAGGTCAGGAGATCGAGACCATCCCGGCTAAAACGGTGAAACCCCGTCTCTACTAAAAATACAAAAAATTAGCCGGGCGTAGTGGCGGGCGCCTGTAGTCCCAGCTACTTGGGAGGCTGAGGCAGGAGAATGGCGTGAACCCGGGAGGCGGAGCTTGCAGTGAGCCGAGATCCCGCCACTGCACTCCAGCCTGGGCGACAGAGCGAGACTCCGTCTCAAAAAAAAAAAAAAAAAAAAAAAAAATACAATCCTATGAAGTTGTGCATATTTTCTAAACACTGCATTTCTTAATTTCTTTATCTGCAAATAATTAATGGCTCAAATTTTTTGACTCATGAAGCTCTTTGAGAACTTGATAAACTCAGCAATGATAATTCTCAAATATGAATATGTACATATGTAAAAACACGCAAAATTTTAATGGGTTCACAAACTCCCAAAAATCTATTAGTTTGCCGGTTATTATTTCAGATTTAAAAATTCTACTAATGGAAGATGACTAAGTTTGGTCGGGTGCTAATATGCTGTAATAAGAGAGGAGTAATAGGTAATTAAAACTAATCATGTTTAAAGTTGAATTCCTAATCTGCAGTTCCAAAAATTGATTTTTTCATTCCCCATATTGGTTAATAAGATTTTACTCTTCCAGGATCTGAAGTCAAAAATTTGGAATCAGTCTACCCTGTTTCTTTCCTATCTACTTTTCCAAATTTCAGAAAATTGCAATTTTCCTACCTTCAAAATGTATCCTGAATCTGACCACTTCTCCCCACCTCCACTGCTACCACTCTGTTCAAACCACTATGATCTACTGCCAAGAATATTGCCATCACTTTCTAACTCATCTACACCCTTGTTCCCTATGGTATATTTTCAATACAACAGCCAGTGTAGGCCATTAAACAAATAAATAAGTTGCTTCTGTATTTAAAACCCTGTAAAGGCTCCCAATTTATTCCAAGTTAAAACCCGTAATCTGTCTCTCCCTTACCTAAAGAACCTTATCTCCTAACACTCACCACACTGACCTCCTCCTTCCTTCTGCCCTAGCCTCAATGGCTTTCTCACTTTTTCTCAAATGTGCCGTCTCTGTCCCAGCATCAAAGATTTATTATTATTATTATTATTATTATTATTATTATACTTTAAGTTCTAGGGTGCATGACTGTCTGTTCCCTCTGCCTGGAACACTATACTCCAGATGTTTTCATGGCTCACTCCTTCATCTTCTTTAAGTTCCTTTCAAACGTCACATTCTGACAAAGGTGAATGTGACATTTTAAATTCCATGCCCCTTTTAAATTCCATGCCCCTTTCCTTCCGACAATCTTCACCCTTATTACTCTACTCCAATTCTACTGTGTTATCCCCCTCATCTATTGTCATCCTCTAACTCCTGTTTATTAAATCTATTGCCTGCTTCTTCTCACCAGAATGCAACATCTATACAGCAAAATATTTCTCTGTCTTGTTTATTGCTGTATTCCAGCACAAAGAACAGTTCCTAGTCATGAATTAGCACTCAGTAAATATTTCTAGAGTGAGTAATTGGTTAATTACCTTCATATCTTGAAGCTGGTTTAGCAAAGTACTTTCTATTTCTTTTTTTTTTTCTTTGAGACGGAGTCTCACACTGTCACCCAGGCTGGACTGCAGTGGCACAATCTCCACTCACAGCAACCTCTGCCTCCCAGGTTCAAGTGATTCTCCTGCCTCAGCCTCCCAAGTAGCTGGGATTACAGACACCCACCACCATGCCTGGCTAATGTTTTGTATTTTTAGTAAAGACAGGGCTTCACTATGTTGGCCAGGCTGGTCTTGAACTCCTCACCTCGTGATCCGCCCTCCTCAGCCTCCCAAAGTGCTGGGATTACAGGCTTGGGCCACCGTGCCCAGCCAGTACAGTCTATTTCTAACCTGGTTCAAAATATTCAGAACAAGATCTATCCTCAAGTGGACTTTCCCAGCACAGTGTACTGTATCAAAATAAGAAAGAAGAGTAAATAAAAGAGAAGTCTCACTTCCGAGACCTAATTTGAAACAAGTTACCAAGTATCTGTGAATGTGAAATAAAAGGCACAGAAAATGTCTGAGCCAATCATGCTAAAGAATCTTCTATAGAAATGGCCTATCAAGATGCATCTTCCCCTGCAGCAGCCCAGATCTCTGATCCCTTCACTAGAGCAAGAAAAACTCTTTGGTAGGAATGTGCCTTCCTGGCATCTCAAAATTAATACCAAGAAGTGAAAATGCCATACACTAGTAGTTTAGAGTAGCACAATCACTGGGGTCAAAAAAGCAAGTCACATTTTTTTGTCCTCTTGATTTTTTCACTGTGTGAGTGAATATATGATGGCCCAGCATAGATACAAGACTGAGTTTCAAATTCTACGTGAGAGCAGGATGTATCACTGAATGGAATTTGATTTACTAGGGAGTCTGCACGTGCACCTGTGTGCATGTGTGGTGCAGCAGTAAATCGTTTGACAGCCGTGCCAGATTCTGTATCCCCCTTCTGATTTGCAGCTGAGGTCAGAGAAAGGCCAGACTTCCTATTTGCCCCTGATCCCAGGTGCTTACCCTTGGTTTGGAAGGCCAGCTCTTGGAAGTCACACTTTTCCCTCTCTTCTGGTGTTTAATGTGCCTTTGTTGCACTCAATATATGTATGTCCTCAACAGCCCTTTGAGACACCTCCCTCACACCAGCACAGAAATACGTACCTCTGTCTCCAAAGACTCAATTAGAGTTCATCTGGAGTTTGGGGATGTTAAATAAATTAGAAAATGATGAAATGAGGAATATTTCATTAAAAGTTGACTCTCTTAATGGATCTAACTCATAATATAATCCTGTTATGTTGGGTCTGTCTTATAATTGAATTTTTCCAAATTGTACTAATTAGACTTTTCTAAAAAGTATCATGTGGTCTATATTTTTTTTCCATGTCACACGCTCTTTTCTCTGTCCAGGCTACTCGCTCTTGTCTCCTCCACCGGCAATCTACTACCTATCCCACACATGCACAATGGTCTGAATTGTGTCTTTTGGAAATCCATTTGTTGAAGCCCTAACTTACTGTACCTTAGAATCTGACTATATTTGAAGATGAGATCTTTAAACAAGTGATGAAGTTAAAATGAGGCAGTTAAAGTAGGCTCAATCCAATCTGACTGGTGTCTTTATAAAAAGGAAAGTTGAACATACACAAGAAACCAATCCTGCCAGCACCTTCAACTTGGGCTTTTAGCCCTCAGAACTGTGGGAGAGTAAATTTCTGTTTTGTAAGCCATCCAGGCTGCACTATTTTGTTATAGCAACACTTGCAAACTGATACACTCAATTACCAACACTATTTTGGTAAAACCTCATGTTTTATTTGTAAAAAGACTACTATAACCAGGAAATTTGATATGTCATGGTGAAATTGTCTCTAATTTTTAATTAATTTATAACATAACATTAAAAAAAACATACAAAAATTCATATATACTTGATTGTTATCAGTCATTGTTTTCCTGGTAAAGATTTTCATTCTAAATCTTCCCTCGGATATAAAGTTTTCTGAAATCTCTCTCTGGTCCTACTTCTCGATCTGTTTCTATGTCCTACCTACATCTCCCTTTCTGCCTGTCTCATACAACTGCTGCACTACTGTCCTTAATTCTTTCATTGTTAAGGAAAATACTCTTTTATTGAAAGTGCATGGTGGTTCTAAGTATTGATATTCATTCTCTATTTTGTCTATTGCTAAGGAAATCTGTCATCTTTGCATCATGCAAGCTAAAAAATGAGAGCCAGAAACGAAAAAAACAAACTTGTTTCTAGGAGAACTTTATGGTAGATACTCTTTTTTTTTTCTTTTCATTTTTGTTTTTTAATTTTAAATTCTGGTCTACATGTGCAGGATGTGCAGGTTTGTTATATAGGTAAACATGTGCCATGGCTGTTTGCTGCACCTATCAACCCATCACCTAGGTATACATATACACCAGGGAATACTATGCAGCCATAAAAAGGAATGAGATCATGTCCTTTGCAGGGACACGGATGAAGCTGGAAGCCATTATCTTCAGCAAACTAATGCAGGGACAGAAAACCAAACACCACATGTTCTCACTTATAAGTGGGAGCTGAACAATGAGAATCCATGGACACAGGGAGGGGAACAACACACACTGGGGCCTGTCGGGGTAGGGCAGCGAGGGGAGCACACCAAGACAAACAGCTAATTCATACAGTAGATGTCGCAACAAGAAGCTGCAACAAGACTGGCACATAACTCTGTAGACGTGGCTTGGGATTAAAGCAGGGGCTTGGAGATTGCCTCATAGCAGTCATAACCCATGGCAGCCAGGAGGTAGCGCTCACTACAGGCCAGCCCATATCTACTATAGGGCAGTAGATACTTTTTGTGTGACTTCCTAACTCACTCTCTCATCTAACAAGTGAGGTAAATACCTTTGTTTTTTGTTTTCATTGTTATTTTTTGTAAGTTCTGGGTTTGCATTCTTTTTTCAAACCAATGACCCTCATTATTTCAAGTAAATCACTTAATCTATTTAATCTTAACAATGATTACATAACAAGTTATATTATTCTCATTTATTGTATAAAATGCTATAGACGTAGGCAACTTATGAAATGTCAAATGAAAAAAAAATTTAATCTGCTTTCTTTCAATATTCTCAGACCCCTTAACAATTTTATAGATTCCGTTCCAAGCTACCATGCATAGTAGCTTTTGCAAATGCCCCAGCCTCATTTATTTAAAAAATACATTCCAATACCTTAGCTCCAACTTAAAAACAAAAATGCAGACTTCCGTTTCCAAGTTATAAAATTATTTTATCTTTTATTTATTTCTGAGAATATAAGCTGAAAACAATGACGTGGAGATAATCTGTTAAAAATTGTTTACCAATATTTTTCTTTAAGAAACTGAAGTCTATCTAACATTTTCTTCAAGGCATCTTTGACATCCTTATTTCTTAAGCTATAGATCAAGGGGTTTAGCATTGGAATCACCACAGTATAGAACACTGACCCCAATTTATCCATTTTTAAGGCATAGCTAGTTCTTGGTTGGGAGTAAATAAAGAAGATTGCACCATAGTACAAGGTGAGAGCCGTCAGGGGAGACCCACAAGTGGAGAAGACCTGGAGGCGGCCCTTAATGGAACGGATCTTCGAGATGGCTGCAATGATGAAGAGATGGACGCAAGAATAAGTGCAGTGGGAGTGATGATTGGAGGCAAGCATAAAATGCAGCACAGCCTGGTAGCGCTCCTTCACATCACACACCAACTTTACAAGTGGGGGCAGATCACAGAAGAAATCATCAATGATATTGCTGCCACAGAAGCTCAAGGTAGGTGTCTCACTGGTGATGATGGTTGAGTTTACAAAGCCGCCAAGGTGTGAAGCCTCAACAAGACTGGCACATAACTCTGGGAATGTGGCCCGGGAATAAAGCAGGGGCTTGGAGATTGCCATGTAGCGGTCATAAGCCATGGAAGCCATCATATAGCACTCATTTTAGGCCAACACAGCAGAGAAGAACTGAGCAAGGCAGCCAGGAAAGGAGATGGTTTTGTCATCAGAAATGCAAGTCAGCAGGATATCGGGGATGTGGACAGAGGAATACCAGAGATCCAGAAGGAACCGGTTTCCAGTGAAGAAATACATGGGTGTGTAGGGCCAAGAATCAGCACAGATGAGAGAATTCAGAATGATGTTGCCTGAGAGGCTGATGACATAAATGATGAGAAAGAT
Organism: Homo sapiens; assembly: GCF_000001405.40. NCBI lineage: Eukaryota > Metazoa > Chordata > Mammalia > Primates > Hominidae > Homo > Homo sapiens. The sequence continues at coordinate 56,751,849 of NC_000011.10, forward strand.
GAAAAAGAGCACTTGCTGTAACCCCAAATCTTCTGTGAACTCTAAAAGGATAAACAGTAAAAAAAGTAATCTTATTATGCTAACCACATTTTATAATATCATTGGAAGTACATTATTCTATAATTTCTTTGGAGTAAATAATTGTATTTCATTCAAATTTTTGTTCACAAAACTAAGAATACAAGTTTGCATAAAGTAGAACGTATGTAATTTGAATAAAAAGAACAGATGTGCTTACAAAATGGTATTTTCAAACCACAGCTACCTTCGTGACCCTAAAATGTGTCTGGAAATGAAATAAAAGTATTAATCATTGGAAAATTGTGTTCATAATTTGGGTTGAATTTCCTACAGAATTAATAGGTTTTTTTTAAAAAGAATGAAACTACCTAAAATGAATTGTTTGTGAAAGTATGATAGAAGGAATAATGACCCACAAATATACTCATTTTCTAATTCCAGGAACCTGGGAATATTACTTTACATGGGGAAAGGGTCTTTCCATATGTTATTAAGAGAATTGAGATGGGGATATTATCAGGGTGGGCACAAAATGTAATTACAAATATCCTTACAAGAGGGAGGCAGAGGGAGACTTGACTCAGAAAAGGAGGAGGTAGTGAGTGTGATCATGGGAGAAGAGGTTGGAGTAATGCAACCACAAGCCAAGTCATGCCAGCAGCCACAAGGAGCTGAAATAGAAAAGGAATGGATTCTCCTTTAGAACATCTGGACAGAGCACGACCCTGCCGACACCTTGATTTTGGCCCAGTGGTACTGACTTCAAACTTCTGAACTACAGAACTGTAGAAAACAGATTTTTGTTGTTTGAAGCCAGGAAGTTTGTGGTTATTTGTTACGGCAGTAATAGGAAACTAAATAGAAAGTTATGGAAACAACCCCAGAGTCTTCTTTCCCTCAGAGGTGGGAGCTGGAGAGGACTGTTGCCAGTCATGAGGGACACAATGTCACTTAGAGGGCCCCTACTACCACCTACCACAATCAAAGAAGGGTGACATTATGATTGCCAGTGTTCTGGGTTGGCAAGAGCTGTTAAATTTCTGCTAGAAGAGCCAAGGCTTTACAAGTCTCCATTTCTAGGAAAAGAAAACACAACAACCTAGTCTTGGCTATTTTGCTAAGACATGGACTTAACATTGAGCTAGAAAAATAAAAAATAAAAAGCGTTTTCTTGGAACTGTACTTATATGATGAAAGACAATTTATTTTCACTAGGCTTTTAAGAATCTATTTTTTATTTAAACAAATATCAATGCTACATTTATTGTCAAAGTACAAGTTATTCATATAAACAAAGAGGATTGGATTAAATAATATTTGGGTTGTCTTTGTGTATCGAGGTAAAGTTCTAAGGTTGTTTTTAACAAAGCGTGTTCCTAGAAACAGCTTAGTACCAAGAATCAGGAGACCTGGATTCTGAATTTAGTGAGCTGCTGCCAATATTGAAGAAACTGGACACTTCCAGAACTCTTTTTTTCTTACCTGCCTTTCTTAGTTCAACAGGACTTTATGACATTACAGATGTGAGAAAGCACTTTGAAAATTAGAAGTTAAACCTACGTATTGCATTCCCTAAACTATGTGATTTGTTCATCTCAGCGATCCATCCCTCAGATACATTTGCTTTACCTCCCAAGGATCTCCAGTTGCTCCCACGCTATGAGTGCCTAGATTTTCATGTGTTCTCCTGCAGAAACTACACTTTCTGTGGCTTTTAGAAAAGCTGGGTAATTCATTTCTGGACCTGTTCTCAAAATTCCGATTGAGAATGAAAGTTGTAAGAGGCATTTCTTCTCTAGCCTCTCATTTTCATCTATGGTTGGTTATTAATGTATAAAATAAGCATAAGTATAAATGTATGCACATATTCATATATAATTCAATGATTTTACAAATAAAAATGGTTGAAGGTGGCTGAGTGTGACACATAAGACACATTAAGCCATCTTCCATATTTACATAGGTAAATAAATCGAGAAGATGCAAACAGAAAAAAAATAGAACTAAACGTAAAATTCAGGCAGGGATAAAACGTATTGCACATGAACATGTCATATTCACTGCTCTGTGTAGACCACAAATTCGACTCAACATTTCTCATAGTTCATATAAACAATTAGTAGTATCCAAAGACAAGCAAAATGAATCAAAATTTCAGCAAACACTGCCATTTTTAATTCTTTTTTTTTTTTTTTTTTTTTGAGACAGAGTCTCACTCAGTTGCCCAGGCTGGAGTGCACTGACATGATCTTGGCTCCCTGCAACCTCCACTTCCTGGGTTCAAGCGATTCTCATGCCTTAACCCCCCATGTAGCTGGGACTACAGGCATGTGCCACAAGACCTGGCTAGTTTTTGCCTTTTTAGTATTTTTTGCCTGGCTGTTTTTTGCTATGTTGGCCAGGCTTGTCCTAAACTCCTGGCATCAAGTGATCTACCAGCCTTACCCTCCCAAAGTGCCAGGATTACAGGCGTGAGCCACCACACCTGGCCCATTCTGCCATTTTCGATATTAACTTTGAAATCATTCTTCCAAAGATTCCTTGTAAAGAGAATGATTAAATGCAATGCATAACACATTGAATAAATACATACACACACACACACACGAAAGAGTTTTCTTAAGCTAAACTTACTTGTCATTCATTCATAGACTTAAAGCTGGCTGCATCCATTGCTGAAATCAAGGCATGCTTAGAAAACTTCTTCCCACAAATCATCTCTCTCATCTTCAACTATCTGACAGCTTCTTTCATCAGGAGGATTTTTTAAGTAAATAACTCTGGGAGTGGTCACACCAAAAGGAGCTGAACTCTTAGTGATTGCTCAGTCCTCTCCAGGCTTAATGCACCTGCAGTCTGTGCAATTCAGTTTGGTACTTTTTCAGATGCTGCTTTAGCTATATATTAATTATAAATGTAAATGTATAGTATGTTTCCCAAAAAACATATATATATAAATATAAAGAAAAAGAAATACTTGAAAGTCATGACAATATTGACCTCTTGTAAAAAAAAATCTGTCAAATAACCATTTAACTACCTGTTTCACTGAAAGAGAAAATAAAGTCTGAATAAAAGACATTTGAGGACACTTCAGCTGTCTTCATCAAATAATATATATTATACATAGTTTTCTCACCCCTCTTTTTTTTTTCTTTCTTTAGTTTGTGAGTTTATTGTATAAATATCCACTTTAGATTTCAATCCAGGTAAAGCACAGGGATAGTTTCTATCTTTCTCACTGCTCTTTACTAAGTATTTTCTGTAATTTAATAGGTTCTCAATAAATGAATAAATTACTAGTCCAACCACCAGATACTTTGAGGAAAAATTGAACGTACATCTCAGATCTAGGCTCTTAAAATACTCTTCCCTTACCTCCTGCTACCCCCACATTTTATGATCCAAGAGAAATGCCCATGAGGGTGGAGGAATGTAGGGGTTTCAGTCTATATTACCCTAACATTAAAATCGGTAATCTTGATATTTAAAAAACCCACAGCAGAAGTTGTATACATAGTTTTGGTGATTCCTGTTAGCCTTTTCAAGTTAAGACTGCCTGAGCCTGGCCTTTTTGCTGACTGCCAACCAACATTACCTAAAAACAAAGACACATTGTTGCCAGGCCCTTTACTATTTATATTCTCTGCTCTTCTTTGTCTTACAAATCTGAAGTTTTTCAAAGACAGCTAAAACCCCTCATATTACTTGCCGAATAACTAAAGGTTTATTCCATGGCATTTTTTTTTTCATTTCCATAAAGTTTGTCTCCTAATCCTTATCTATTAAGAAATTTAAATTTTTCTCAGGTACTTGGTAAACTACAATATCCTAGTTGACATTAACTTCCACGAGACTCCTACAAAGATCACATTATGCTATCTAGAGTGGGTTATTATAGGCACTAAATGTACTTTCAACTCATTTTGAATACTCAAACTTACCAGCTCTAGACTGGTGGACGTGTTGCTCCAAATTGATTGCATTTTAAGTTGCAAACTTATTTTTTGGTTCCTAAACAAGAATGCCCACTTTTCCCGCTGTGTGAAATTATCGCGTGTTCAAACCCAAAGGCTCTTTTCAGAGCCACTTAATGATTTCGATTAAGAGTTTTAATGCTGGGTGCTGCTGTATTCTATGGGAGAAGTGTCGCCAATACAGATAAAATTTTCCTACATCACCAGTTTATTTTGCGCTTTTGACAAACACTAAGATTTTAGAGCTTGTTTGTCTTTATAAAGGTGGTGTATAACTACATTGTCCAGGCTGGTCTTAAATTCAAGCAAGTTTTCCCTCCTCGGCCTTGCTTTGTATTACTGAGCAGATAATTCTCACCCCTCTTAAGGAGCTTCTATCCCATGCACTATCTGGTATAGAAAAAGAAACACTTGGCCGGGCGCAGTGGCTCCGGCCTGTAATCCCAGCACTTTGGGAAGCCGAGGCTGGTGGATCATCTGAGGTCTGCAGTTCGGGACCAGCCTCGCCAGCATGGTGAAACCTCATCTCTACTAAAAGTACAAAAAGTAGCCAGATGTGGTGGTGGGCATCTGCATTCCCAGCTACTTGGGAGGCTGAGGCAGGAGAATCGCTTGAACCCAAGAGGCGGAAGTTGCAGTGAGCCGAGATTGTGCCACTGCACTCCAGCCTGGGTGACAAGAGCAAAATTCTGTCTCAAAAGAAAGAGAGACAAGAAAGAAAGAAAGAAAGAGAGAGAGAGAAAGAAAGAAAGAAAGAAAGAAAGAAAGAAAGAAAGAAAGAAAGAAAGAAAGAAAGAAAGAAAGAAGAGAAGGAAGGAAGGAAGGGAAAGAAAGGAAGAAAGGGAAAGAAAGAAAGAAAGAAAGAGAGAGAGAGAGAGAGAAATACTTTAAAGTCATGACAATATTGACCTCTTATAAAAAAAAAATCTGTCAAATATGCATCTAACTACCTGCTCACTGAAAGAGAAAATGAAGTCTGAATAAAAGACATTTGAGGACACTTTAGCTTTCTTCCTCAAATATAATTATAAGAAAGAAAATCTTATTCTATTTCACAAAGTAGATTTAAGTCGTGGTTTACTTATATTAAGAATCATTTTGTTTTTTGTCTATATTGTGATTTACTGACCTTCCTGTTTTGGTTAATTAACTACAACACTTACTTTTATGAGAATGTCATTTGAATTTTAACTGAAGTTCAGAATTTCCCATATTACCATAGAATACAAAATGTCATTTATTCACTCTACAGGAATTTTCTCACCAGTGATTACAATACTGGGAGGCCATATAATCCTGAGCATCCTTTTGGGATTTGCTGAAGAAAAAAAAAAAGACGATATTGATTCATATTTATGGAGCAATTCCTATGTGCCTGGCACTGAGCTAAATGCTGGAAGAAATACAATTACGAGGCAAAGTAACATCTTAGGTGAGCTTAGTAATGGCTAATTGGCAAACTAAAGATGGAGAAGGTGTAAGTATTAATCCCATGTCTACAATTCACTAATTGTGAGACCCAGAGAAGTGTATTTAAACTCACCAAAGCTCAGTTTTTTAACATATAAAATGGAAATAACTTGTCTTCATCATAAAGTTGTAGTGAAGATTAAACTAGGTTTTATACATACATAAAGGTTTTTCAATACATGCCAATTGAAAGTATTAAAAAATCAGAAAAAGCAAAAAGAATTAAAAATTAAAGTACATATGTATATACATATATACATATGCATACTTATATACATATGTACTTTATGGGTGGGAAAGGAGATAAAGGACTTGTTCTTTTCTATTTGTTTCTTCCTGTTTCTATCAGTGACATCCTAGAAGTGCTTCTTCACACAGACTAGCAATTTTGCTCAAGTAGTAGCAGTTGACCCCAGTTTGCAGTTTTTTCCAACGTTTGTTAAATCAGCCTTATTAAACCACCTCAAAGATACCAGCCCTGGCTGGGCAGAAAGCTGGAGAGGAAATACGACAACTGATAAAACCCCTTCAATCCTTTCTAAGAATCTGTATCTTTTTGTCCATTTACCCCAGGAACCATTTACCCCAGGATACCACGTATGTGTATCCAAAGACCATCTTTCTAGATACCTGTGCCTTAAGTCTTTTGCCAACAGCTACTCTCTCAGCTGCAAGCTGAAGGCAGTTGCAGGAGGACTTTCTCAGTTTTCATTGATGAGTGACTGAACAAGAAAAATTATCTTAACCTAATTTACTATATTTTTTCATGATGCTGATTTTGGATGAGCTCAGAAATAAAATCAAAGAGAAATAATTCAGGTCCCATTTAGGTTAATAAACATTAAACCTCGACTATGGACAATTTATCAATTATGTGCTGATCACTAGAGATATAGCAGAGAACAAAGTAGAAATAGTCCTTGTCCTTGTGCTGCTTATAGTTCAGGTGATCATGACTACAGTAAAGCAATTATATATTGTGATTATGAGACTGAAATGGCTTGCCCCAAACCATGAGAGAGTTAATGGCAGAACCAGTATAATCAGAACTTCTCACAATGCATTTAGTAATCTGAGATACTCTAGCACTTAATCCTGTATCTCCTTTATTAGACTGAATATTTTCTCTACCACTGCTAAAGCAAAAGTTCTTAATTTGGGTTCATTGATCACTGGGGAGAGCATAGATGGGCTTCAAGGACTCCAAAATTCCCTCTGAGAATGTGACTGGGAAGTTTTGATTGTGTCCCTATCTGTTCAAGAGAGCCTGTTGGATTCTCATTAGGATCCATTGTTCAGAGCCATTGTGCTACCTATTTCAGATTTGCATCACCCAAAATAAAAGCCTTCCACAGTGATGTTGACAATTTCTGCAACGGATTTTACCAAAAGAATTTGTGTATATACCCAGTAATGGGATGGCTGGGTCAAATGGTATTTCTAGTTCTAGATCCCTGAGGAATCGCCACACTGACTTCCACAATGGTTGAACTAGTTTACAGTCCCACCAACAGTGTAAAAGTGTTCCTATTTCTCCACATCCTCTCCAGCACCTGTTGTTTCCTGACTTTTTAATGATTGCCATTCTAACTGGTGTGAGATGGTATCTCATTGTGGTTTTGATTTGCATTTCTCTGATGGCCAGTGATGATGAGCATTTTTTCATGTGTTTTTTGGCTGCATAAATGTCTTCTTTTGACAAGTGTCTGTTCACGTCCTTCGCCCACTTGTTGATGGGGTTGTTTGTTTTTTTCTTGTAAATTTGTTTGAGTTCATTGTAGATTCTGGATATTAGCCCTTTGTCAGATGAGTAGGTTGCAAAAATTTTCTCCCATTTTGTAGGTTGCCTGTTCACTGTGATGGTAGTTTCTTTTGCTGTGCAGAAGCTCTTTAGTTTAATTAGATCCCATTTGTCAATTTTGTCTTTTGTTGCCATTGCTTTTTGTGTTTTGGACATGAAGTCCTTGCCCATGCCTATGTCCTGAATGGTGATGCCTAGGTTTTCTTCTAGGGTTTTTATGGTTTTAGGTCTAACGTTTAAGTCTTTAATCCATCTTGAATTGATTTTTGTATAAGGTGTAAGGAAGGGATCCAGTTTCAGCTTTCTACATATGGCTAGCCAGTTTTCCCAGAACCATTTATTAAACAGGGAATCCTTTCCCCATTGCTTGTTTTTCTCAGGTTTGTCAAAGATCAGATAGTTGTAGATATGCGGTGTTATTTCTGAGGGCTCTGTTCTGTTCCATTGATCTATATCTCTGTTTTGGTACCAGTACCATGCTGTTTTGGTTACTGTAGGCTTGTAGTATAGATTGAAGTCAGGTACCGTGATGCCTCCAGCTTTGTTCTTTTGGCTTAGGATTGACTTGGCGATGCGGGCTCTTTTTTGGTTCTATATGAACTTTAAAGTAGTTTTTTGCAATTCTGTGAAGAAAGTCATTGGTAGCTTGATGGGGATGGCATTGAATCTGTAAATTACCTTGGGCAGTATGGACATTTTCACGATATTGATTCTTCCTACCCATGAGCATGGAATGTTCTTCCATTGGTTTGTATCCTCTTTTATTTCATTGAGCAGTGGTTTGTAGGTCTCCTTGAAGAGGTCCTTCACGTCCCTTGTAAGTTGGATTCCTAGGTATTTTATTCTCTTTGAAGCAATTGTGAATGGGAGTTCACTCATGATTTGGCTCTCTGTTTGTCTGTTGTTGGTGTATAAGAATACTTGTGATTTTGTATATTGATTTTGTATCCTGAGACTTTGCTGAAGTTGCTTATCAGCTTAAGGAGATTTTGGGCTGAGACAATGGGGTTTTCTAGATATACAATCATGTCGTCTGCAAACAGGGACAATTTGACTTCCTCTTTTCCTAATTGAATACCCTTTATTTCCTTCTCCTGCCTAATTGCCCTGGCCAGAACTTCCAACATTATGTTGAATAGGAGTGGTGACTGTATATATACCCAAAGGGCTATAAATCTTGCTGCTATAAAGACACATGCACACGTATGTTTATTGTGGCATTATTCACAATAGCAAAGACTTGGAACCAACCCAAATGTCCAACAATGATAGGCTGGATTAAGAAAATATGGCACATATACACCATGGAATACTATGCAGCCATAAAAAAGGATGAGTTCATGTCCTTTGTAGGGACATGGATGAAATTGGAAACCATCATTCTCAGTAAACTATCGCAAGAACAAAAAACCAAACACCGCATATTCTCACTCATAGGTGGGAATTGAACAATGAGATCACATGGACACAGGAAGGGGAATATCACACTCTGGGGACTGTGGTGGGGTGGGAGGAGGGGGGAGGGATAGCATTGGGAGATATACCTAATGCTAGATGACGAGTTAGTGGGTACAGCGCACCAGCATGGCACATGTATACATATGTAACTAACCTGCACAATGTGCACATGTACCCTAAAACTTAAAGTATAATAAAAAAAAAAAGAATTTGTTTAGCAAAGTGTAGCCTAGATGAAATCTCCTTTAGAATATATATTTCTTACCTTCTATACTTGACTGCTGAAAATAGTTGTCAGTGAAACATTAACGTCTTTTAACATTATATAAGTTCAACTTGGCAGAAGAGAAAACCTAGATGAAATAGTATGAAAACATTCCTAAGAAGTGGAATGAAAGAAGAATATACTGTGACATTTAGCTTTAGATGTTAAGAGGGAAAAAAAGGTCAAGTCCTAAATGAAGGATTACTGTTATTCATATGAAAGAATTTCAAGTAAGAGCAGAGTGATTGAGACTCATAAGTGTGAATGATAGGACAATGGTTCATCTTCTGATTTATTTTATTTAACTTTTTTAATGTCCCTGTTCTTAAGGTGTTTATCTTGTACTGAATGACACAGGTAAGATACTCACCAAGCCCATCTGCTCTTTCTGAAAGCATAAAAAAACTACATTTCCCTGAATGCTTTGTAGTTATGCCAGGATCATGTGATTACATTCTGGCTAATGAGATATGGATAAAAGCGTAGTCCACAATTTCTGTTTCTGGCCATTAAACTCCATACACCATCATCCATCTACTCTCTTCTCCTTCTGCCAAACTGTGATCATCATGTATTATTGATGGTGGCCTCAAAAGAGGGAAGAAACCTGCATCTCAGTCACTGCTTAGTGGAAAAATGAGTCTCAAGAACTTACCTGTATGATGGTCTAGCCTACCCCTAGTAAAATAGTTTTGATTATTCATTTAAATATCAAACAAATACTAAAAACCCAACAAGTAAACAAACAAACATTGTAATTGCCAACAATCGAAACCAAATAGAAAGGTAGTCCCTTTAAGGAAGATAATTTAGTTATGGAAAAATGTTAATTCAAGCAAGATTTTAAAATAAGTGCTGCAAACAAATGTAAAGAAAAAATCTGTTAAAAGGGATTATCTTCTGTACTTTCCATTCAACTTTTCTGTGACTATAAAACTCCTTTAAAATAATAATATCTATTTAACAAAAGTTTGGGGTGGGTGGATATACCATGGGAAGAAAGTTGAATTTCAAGGCAGCTGGATATGAAGTAGAAGGTTGTAGGGGCTTTTCATCATTTTCCTCTATATATTTCTGTGTTTCACTTTTTTTAGTAACATGCATGCAGTTGTATACCACGTAATATAACTAATAAAGAACAAAAAATTGGTTTGAGTAGTATTTATAAATATAATTAAGAAAATTAGTATTTTTGTTATGAATAATATATAAATATTTGCATTTTCATATAATTATGAATCCATATATGGACAGCAAAAAACCCATTCCAACTTCGTTTAGCAGGGCAAGTCATTTTCTTAGAGAATATGTGCCATCTTGTAGTGAGTCAAAGCAATGTTCCATGTTTAGTACATCCATTCATGTGCTGGACAAGAGGTAGCACTTTCCAGTAGCCAGACTCTGTTGCTCTAAATACTTTTACAGAATTCTACTCTTTACAGTATCCATGTCCAAGAATATCTACTTTGTAGCGCTTGTTATGTTGTAAAAATTTAAAGTATTTTGTGAATGCAATTTTTTCTATATCCTCCCTAAGCCATAAGTCTCAAGAAGGCTGAGTCCATGTCTGTTTTTGTTCACCAGTGTATATGTCTCTGCATAACCTCCTTTATAGCACTGGTAAAGTAGCACTTAATAAATATTTGTTCAGTTAGGTAATTAACTGATTAATATACAGATACATGATCTTCTCAAGATATTTATTAAATTGAGAAAAAGGAAAGCTCAGAACCATGCGCACAATATCTGCCCATCTGCCTTGGTGTGCATGTTAAAAATTTATTCACATATATGCTTGAAAACAGATGAAAATCCTCTGGATGAAAACACAAGGAACTATTAAAGATGAGCACTGTTAGAGAGGGAAGCTGGAGGTCTGGGCTGGGACAGTTGCTGAGTTCTTCTTGTGTATTCTTGTAATCTGCATACCTTATTGGAACATTTACCATGAACATACATTATTTTTCAATATAAAAGTATAACGTCAAACAATAGATACTATAAGTATTTCCAAACTTATACATATGTAAAGTATACCAAATTGCTTATATTTCTTTTGATTTGTAAAAGAGAGAAAACAAAATTCCACATGTCTCAGATTATCTTAAACATTAGCACTATAATATCTAACTAAACTAATCATTTCATCATGTTCAAACCTCCTCTGATGGTAGTATACTTTTTCTATGATATATTTGCTTTGATCTATATGTATGTGTGTGTCTATGCATGCACATGCCCTTGCATAATATATATATTTGTAAGGTTCACAAAGTTTACAAATGTAAGAAATAAAATATAATCACATAAAAATACATAAAATATACTTCACAGCTAATATTCATTCAGTTTATATCAAATACCTGTAGATGAAAGATCTAGGAAAAATTTTCTAAAAAGTTTGCCAACAAAGAGAACAAAGTAGAAAACATCGAGAACATACACTATTATTTCTGAGTGGTCAACGTTATTTTCCTTTTTTGTTGGCATCATCAGAAAGTACCAGAAAGCAGTGACTCTCTTTGAAAAAAAATTGCCAATTGCCATATCACAGTATTCTAAAATTCCACAAGAACACAATTGTCTTATTTGTCTTCTTTTTAAATGGTTTCAGGAAGAGTCATCAGTTAATCATAAAATGTTTAATATTCCCCTTCCAGCAAGACCACTATTTGAGCTTGCCTACCTGACTGCCTGCTTTCCTGTCTTCCTTCCTGCCTGCCTTCTTTCTTTTCTTTATTTCTTTATTCCTTCCTCCCTTCTTTCCTTCTGTCTTTATGAGGTACCATGATACCCTAGAAATAGTCATTGCCCAAAATATCAAGAGGACTCAATTTTAGATCAGGCTGTGTTTCCAATTCTGTGACCTGGAACAGATTGATTTTCCATTCCCCTTACTAATTCCCTCACTTAACAAAGAAATAGCTCAGCCCAAATTTTCTCTAAGGTGGTTTTTAATTCTAACATTAATGCAACCCAAAAGAACTACACAAGAATTTAGGGTCTGAGTGAAGAGTAGTTAACACTTCAGGGAACCTATTACAGAAAAATACTGATGATTTTTCCAAGGTGATACTGAGGCTCCAAGGCCATCAATTGCTCCATGTTCCCTCTCTAACAAAATGCCTTGGGCATCATTAAGACTGATTGGGTGCTCAGAAATGGGCAATTACCAAACTTGAAAATAACTATTTGCCTTAATACTAAATAAGTTTCAGAGGAACTAATTAATCAAAACAATGTTAAATAAGAAAACTTCCTGGGTGATGATTGCTATCCAGCTCTGAAAGTTACTCCTGGGACCATGCAGATTGAGCAGCAAATAGGGACTAGCAATAGGAAATGCCTTTGTAAATTGATGTGGTCGGGAGGGCCAGTTTCTAACATTATTGGTTCGTTAGTTGCTATCTTGTCTTCTTGGGTCTTGTTCCCTTGCCCTGGAAAAAACAAAATTATATTCCAATTCAGCAAACCCCAGCAAGCCTAAGGGATTAAATTAATTTATAAACATTGGAAGCTGTAAGAAAGGCTGTAATTCACACCCTGATTATGTTGAAGAGCATGGGTCTTTCCATCTCTAGGTTGGAACACCAGCTCTCGATCTCCTGTGAGTTATTTAAAATTCTTGAGTTTCAGTTCCCTCAAATGTAAAAGAAGGTTAAATAATAGTATGTACAATGGGAAACCAAGTGAAATTATGCATTTAATGTGCCTGGGGCATAGAAAGAGTTCAACATATGTCCATTGATATTATAGTTTAGCCCACTGTCACTCTCACCCAGTTTGTGTGTGTAATAAAATATTCATAACATAAAATTTACCATTTTAACCATTACAAGAGTTAATTCAGTGTTAATTCAAAGTTAACTATTTTAAGTGTCAATTCATTTTTAATTCAGTGGCATTACATACATTGACATTGTGTGCAGCCATCACCACCATCTAATCTCCAGGAATTTTTCATCTTCCCAAACTGAAACTTTCTCTGCTCTTTAAACAATTACTCCACATTGTCCCCTACTTTCAGACCCTGGTAACCACTATTCTATTTTCTGACTCTATGAATATGACTACTCTAGGTACCTCATACAAATGGAATTATATAATATTTCTTCTTTTGTGTCTGGTTTATTTCACTTGGTACAGTGTTTTTAAAGTTTATCCGTGTTGTGGAATATGTGTCTGAATTTCTTCTTAAGACTGAACACTATTCCATTGCACATATATAGTATTACATTTTTTATCTACTCATCCCTGAATGGATATTTGCATTGTTTCTACATTTTAGCTATGACAAACAATGCTGCTATGAATGTGAGTCAGCTTTTTAACCACACAAAGAGAAATCAAAGATTTTCTTTTGAGATAAGGATGAATATGGTCATGTAAGATACTGGCCAGTTTATAAACATTCGCTCAACAAATCTTACTAAGTGCCTACTCCGTAGCAGGCATTCTGCTAGAGGAATAGTGATGAACAAAAAGAGCTTTCCATCAGCATACAAATTATAGGTGCCCCAAGAAATATCGGAACTAAAATGGAGCAGCTGGCCACCTGGTGTGGAAAGCTCTGGCCGTGGCAGCTTCCTCAGGCACTCCAGAAAGACAACAGAGAAGGTCTGATGCTGAGCTGATGGTCCCCATAGAGGCTAATCCAGCATCCATGGCTCTGCTCTCTGCTTTGCTACAATGTGCATGTTGCAGAAAAGCAATTACCCCGATGGCCCCATTGTGATAAGGGACCATGACGCTGCAGGACATGTACATGTTCCGAGTGTCGGTGGAGATACAGCCAGGCAAAAATTGGTTGATAGGTGGAGCTGATAGTGTCTCCTGGCAAATGCAGCTCCACCTGGACTCCCAAATTCATCTTCATTGTTATTAGATATGTTTGTACCTTTCTTCTGATGTGTCACTTTACTGATGTCTAGGCTGCAGCATGACTAACAACTAGTGAACATTCAGCAAATTAGACATTCATCTGATTTTTAAATACATAATATGTAAGCATTAGATTGCATTTTAAATCCATTTTCATTATAACAAGAAATCTCAACTTTCATTTATCAAAAAGAGAAAATGAAGATTGTTTTTATTTTAGACACATTAAATACATATAAACTAAAGATCATACATATTTATTGTGTACAACTTGATATTTTTATATGCCTATACATTGTGAAATAACACAGTCAAGATAAGTGAAGAACAGCTTTAAATATCATTTCTTTAAGTTGAGTTTCAGCTCCCTTAAAAATTTGAATTCCATAAAACTTAATTTTCAAATTGTGATTAAAAATTATTCATCCAGAATTGTTCATAGTCATTTCAATCATAAAACCTAAGGTAAAAACTGTTGTACTTATGGAAGAAAACTCAAATTTCTCCTTCAAAAATTGGAGAAAATTTGTTTCTAATTTGTATATGAATTAAAATCATCTGATCGGGTGCAGTGGCTCATGCCCGTAATCCCAGCACTTTGGGAGGCCAAGGTGGGCAGATCACCTGGGGTCAGGAGCTCGAGACCAGTCTGGCCAACATGCTGAAACCCTGCCTATACTAAAAATAAAAAAATTACAGGTGGCAGGCGCCTGTAATCCCAGCTATTCGGGAGGCTGAGGCAGCAGAATCACTTGAACCCAGGAGGTGGAGGTTGCAGTGAGCCAAGATTGTGCCATTGCACTCCAGCCTGGGCCACAAGAGCGAAACTCTGTCTTAAAAAAATAATAATAAAATAAAATAAATAAAAAATAGATAAATAAAATCATCTTCCTAATCATTTTATATTTTATATTTTTTGTTACATTATATGTTAAAATTAATGAAATGTCTGAACTAGCTCCATTTAGACACCCTAGTTCTCTCCTAATTCCTCCAGTGTTATGTTCATATATTAAAAATGCTCTTCATTATTTTACCATAACATGAAATATGTTAAGCACCAATAATAATAGCAAACCACTAGTGCTCATTATGTACCAAAGCACTGTGCTAGACCTTTTACAAAAATTAACTGCTTAACTACTATTATTATCACCTTCTCTCTACATAGGAGGTTATGGAAGCTCAGAGAGGTTAAGTAATCTGCCCATCTCCACACAGCTATCAAGTAGCACAGTCAAGATTTGATATATGTGGCTCTAAGGCACATGCTCTTATCCAATACTTAGTATACTGTCTCTCTAAAGCTACATAGAAATAGAATTTCTCAAGCTGCAGTTTGAGTTCTATTACCGGGAAATGAAATCATCTTAGTAGGTTATGACTAGCATTATTTAAAGGAATGCGATACAATAAATACATAAAACATGGTTGTCAAGCTTTTCTATAAAGGCCCATATAGAAAGCATTTTAGGCTTTGCTGGCATACTGTTTATGTGACAACTACTCAGCTCTATTTGTTTCATCCATCCAAACCTGAGGCTAGAGTAACCCCAAAAGTGACTGCAGGGGAGGTCTCAAAAAGGAGTGCCCAAAACCCTCCCAAGATGGGGCCAATTGGGATTCCAAAGATAGAAACACTAAACACCAGGGTGATCCATCCAAAGCATTTATTAGAGAAATTTACAAAGTGCTGCAGCAATCCTCATGACAGATGGCAAGAGAAAGGGAGGTTCTGCTGGGCATATGCCCAATGAATGTGTTGGGTTATGGAATTTATAGGACAGTTTAAAGAATTCATCTCAGGACCAGGGCTAGTTTCTTTTCGTATCTGAGACAACAACCTAAACAAGTGTATCAGTGCCTGGAAATGTCCAAGCTTGAGTTCAAGTATGCAGGGAAAAACATGGAGCTGGTAAGGTCACAAGAGCAATCAAGATACTCCATATTTTTTGGTCAAGACAAAGAAAAAATGGGAAAAATAGAGGAACCCCACACTGCCCTTGTAGTCCCAAAGCATCCAAGGACTATTCATAAATCAGTAGTTGTGGTTTATATATTATTACCTTACATGTGGATACATTTTTGGTTATCACACCTGGAATGAGGGGTGTTAAAGGCATCTAATGCAGAGGGCAGAATGTGGTTAAATGTCTTACAATGCAAAGGATATCCCCACAATTAAGAGTTATCCAGGCCAAAATGTCAGTAGAACTGTTGTTGAGAGATTCTAATATAAAGATGGTTGTGTTCCAGCAAAACTTTTTTTATGGATGCTAAAATCTAAATTACAAATAATTTTCATGAGTCATAAAATATTCTCCTTTTGACTGTTTCCAATCATTTAAGAATGTAAAAACCATTCCTGACTTGCAAGTTGTACAAACACAGGTGTCAAGCTGGATTTGATACACAAATCATAGTCTGCTGATTTCTGAAGCAGAATATTTAAAGTGTATTGAAGGAGTAAAACTAAGTATATTTTGTGGAACTCTTCTTCCAGTTGTATATTTGTATGACTCTACTGGGTCTTTCTATATTTCCTTCTGTGGGACATGTTTGAAAGATAGCGATTGGGAGAAATGATTCTTTTGTAAGAAAGAATTTAGATAGCAATATCCCTCTAAATTGTGGCCAATTCATTGTGTTCTCCTTGAATTAGATTCTTATTTAAAAATTATGGTTTGAAACTCTACAGGAAGCACCTTTAAATGAAGACAAGACTGTACAGTTTGGCTGAACTCAACCAAGACTTGACTGTGGAGACCCACACGTAATGTTGTTCAAGACTAAATCACTAAACCTTTGGCAAAATAATCTATGAATTGACTCCTTTGTTCTGATGAGACTTGTCTTTCTGAAGCCCATGGAGCAATCTACCTGTAGGCTCAGGGTAAGCCATGTCATAGCTCCAAAATGTTCCCAGAATTACATGTTTTTCTCTTATTATACCCAGTCTTTAATAAAGACTCATTAGAAGTTGCAGACTGGCCTCAACTATGCTGTGGGTGGCTCTGGATAAGATAGGCTGGTTTGCAGGTTTGGGAAGAAATGGCAGAGGGAAGACTAGCCACAGCAGGGAAGCAGAAGAAACTTGCAGCAATTAGTCCTGGAGCCTGTCAGTGGAGCAGAAGCAGCCAGAGGCAATCAAGGAGGCAGGAGAGCACCAGCACTCATTGTTTCCCCTGGAATACCCTGAACTCCATGGAGAAGAGACACTGGTACAGTTGCATTTCTTGCAGCCCAGAAGAATGAGAACTGGAGTCTATTATAATTTGACATTAAAGGAAAAAGCATGTCATTTTAAGCTATAAGCTAAAATATCCAGGGGATGCTTGGGTTATGCACAGACTCAGCAACAAACACGTCCCTGAATAAGAGGTGCCACCCCATCTTACTCCCCATTTGGAGTTCTTTCCATTGGACAAGTTATTTGTAATGAAATTACTGAGTCCAACTACAGAAGCATTTTAAAGCCTCTTGATAGATATTTACAAATTTATTTTGCCATTTACAAGAACAAAGTGCATTTTACTTACCAAGCTGTGAGATATTTTCCAATGTTTGGTTTAAGCATTTTCTCTGGACATTTTAGTCAGAACTGTTCTCATATATCTATGAGCCCTTTGCAAAAATAGTAAGAAAACTTCCAGGTATGTATTTTCTACAAATATTTTCCCACATTTTAAATTGATTTTTAATTTTTTGACCATGGAAGTTTTATGATATATGGTCAAACCTATCTAGCATGTTTTTTCTACACCCCTTTTAAGCCTAGAAAATACACCAGTACCCCCATATGTTTTGCTAGTATTATGCTTATCTTTACCATTGGTTATCTGAGTCATTTTTCAGAGCAAATATTGACTAAATTCTTTCTTCCTCATGCCCTTCTCATTCCTTTTCTTTAAGAAACAAAAATTTTAAAGATCTATTTTTAAGTGGTAAAGCTTCTCTCTATCACTTCTCAAAACTCAATTTATTTTACCTTAAGTGACAGGAAAGATTTACATTCCTATCGTGTTCTTTCTTTCCCTACATAACATTGTTTTTCAAACTGTAATCCTGGGACAGAACTTCTGCCTATAACTCAGACAAAAGGTTCCATTGTCAAATAACACTGGTTCCATCAATATAAACAGATTTATTTAATGCCATAGTTCTGGAAACACTTTCTATGCTAAAGTTCTTTTTGAGTCACCAAGGGGAGGGAAGGTGGAACATACAAGACACAGTCTTCTCCAAAATACTTTATTATGAATTTGTTTTCTATGTCTACCAGTAACTCACACAGTTGGAGAAGGGCTATCTGAGGCAGGCTACTTTGGGAAAATCCTCCAGTATTTGTGTTATCTTTCTCTCCCTCCATCCCAGGCACTCAGGGGCCAAAGAACAAGGAAGGTTGAGATATAGCAAAAAGGACCTAATCCCAAACTAAGGCACTGACTACAGTGGAGTCCCACTTACTCATTAGTATATTTCCCACAGCTCGCTGGTTTCAAGTATTGGTAGACACAGGCAACATAACAGTTAAGTAAAGAGTGACCACCTCATTTAGCTGACTGCATTCCATCTAAAGTCCATTTGGAGCATGTAAAAATGTCACAAGAAACCATCCATGACAAACATGAACCAAAAAAGAAAACACAATATATAAAAATGTAGAGTCTAGGATGGCAATGTGTGAGTCCAGCATGAGACAATGATTTTAGCGATATAGACCCATGTATTAAGTGCTTATTACATCCCAAAGGATATGTAACATGCTTAATGACCTATCACCTTGTTAAATTTTCACAGTCTCATCCCAGGTGTGTTTCCATTGTGGCATGTTGTTCTTCGCTTCAAAAGAATCTTTCATCAAGCACCTTACTCTTAAACACTTTCCCATAATACCAGAAAAAAATCAACTTCTTATAAACAACATTCTAGGATAAATATTATCCTCAATTTACATACAAGAAGAGATTTAAATTAAAACTCATACAGATAATTCACTAGGTATCTGTATTCTTATCTTCATCTTCTGATCCAAGATACAATGGAGAAAGGAGTTTTCATGTCCTACACCTCATTTACTTTTCTGCAAACTGAGAGCATTTGTTATAAAGGGCAGGATACAAATATGAGTTACATTCCGACAAAGAGTTGTTGAGTAAATCAACTTAAACAAGTTTTTTAATTTATCTTTTATTTCTATAGGTTTTTGGGGGAACAGATGGTGTTTGGTCACATGAATAAGTTCTTTTGTGGTGATTTCTGAAATTTTGGTGGGTGCACCCATCACCCAAGCAGTGTACACTGTACCCAGTGTGTAGTCTTTTATCCCTCGCCCCTTCCCACTCTTTCCCCAGAGTCCCCAAAGTCCATTGTATCATTCTTATGCCTTTATGTCCTCACTGCTTAGCTCCCACTTGTGAGTGAGAACATACAAAGTTTGGTTTTCCATTCCTGAATTACTTCACTTAGAATAATAGCCTCCAATTCTATCCAGGTTGCTGCGAATGCCATTATTTCATTCCTTTTTATGGCTGAGTAGTATTTCATGGTATATAGATACCACATTTTCTTTATCCACTCATTGATTGATGGGCATTCTGGGTCCATATTTTTGCAATTGCAAATTGTGCTGCTACAAACATGTATCTTTTTTGTGTGATGACTTATTTTCCTCTGGGTAGATACCTAGTAGTGGGATTGCTGGATCAAATAGCAAATCTACTTTTAGTTCTTTAGGAATTTCTACACTGTTTTCCACAGTCCCTGAATGTGTCCCATCTCATCTGATTGCAAAACAGTATTTCTAACAGTTTTGTTATTTGTGGAAAGAAAAATAAAGGTCTTTATTTTTCAACTCATTACTATAGGAATATAAAACAGAATTCCATATTTATGTACATTTTCTTTTCTCTGTTATGGGAAATCTCAAAGTAAACTAAGAAGTTATAAAGGTATCTTTATAAGTGTTGGTGATGAAGTGCCTGCTAATAACACAGAAATCAAATTAGTTTACATGCAGCAACATTTAGAGATTGTCATGTGTCAAAAATAATAAATGTTGCAATGATAAAATTATTATTGAGCATTTATTATATCTAGGCAAAAAACTAGATACCTACTATTTATTATCTGATTTAAATTATAACAGGATAATAAATGTTGTCTCTGATTTTCAGCACAGGTCCCCAAATCAAGGGCAAACTGCTGAGTGTCTGAAGTCAGTGAATTCTAAAGCTAGTATATGGACATCTGCTTGCTAAGGGGATGGGAGCATCCCATACTGGTTCCTCCACCATTAGTAGATTTGATCATTCACCTCTGAACTCTCTAAGCCTAGAGGAAAAGAATTTGGGAAGAGGAAGTGAAGAGAACTGGGGGAGAATTTCCTTGGAGAGAATTGTCAATGGCCATTCTTTTCCTTCTACCTAAACCAAGTGACAGAGCCTGCAAAAGGTCCACATTTGGTGGAAGAGCCTACTCTTCCAGAGCATGGAGGGAACAGGAGGCATCTGTGTCCCCATTAGCCAGATATGGGTCTCATTGAAGTGGGAAGATTCTGTATCATCTTAAAAAGGAACTCTTTCAAGGCAATCTCCTGGGGGGTGAGATGATCATGGTATAGAAGTCAATGCCAAAAGCTAAGGAACTGCTGGAGGAACCGTAAATGTCCAGCCCGAGAAGGCACTGGCCTCACAAAAAACTAAAGGGCTGAATTAAGAGGTCAAGCCTTCAGGGGTCGCAGGGGAAGCAGGGACTCTTGTTCTGAGGAAGCTATGAAAGCATCTCCCAAGAGAAAGAACTAGCAATCATGCATACATTGTTAGAATGTGCTAACACCAGATTCCTACTACTCCAGTCATCTATTTTTGCTCTCTTTTGCCTCTTCTTTCAATCCTGGCATTCGATCTTGGGCTAGTCACACAGCAACTACATAGTCAGAAATGAAGAACAGCATTAAATGGGGAATCTGATTTGCCTCCTTTCTCTACTAAAGTCTCCAGAGCCTGAGATGGGGTAGTGAGGGTGATTAATTGCGATAGGGTATACAGCTTGATGTTACAGTGGACTCAACTTTTTTTTTAATACTTTAAAGAAAATCACTTGTTTCTTACTTCTGAGTGAAAGAAAAAACTATTAGAGCTAGCTATCTACAATGCCAGTAAGTGGAAGGAAGGTTTAAGATAATAATACCATTTTAAAGGGCCAATTACAAAAAATAATAAAGCTTCTGCTTCAGCTCCTTTGTACTTCAGCTCCTTCAAAAAACTCAGTGAATTTGGTATTATCCCAAGGTTATAGGTAGAATTAAAAGACAGCCCTAAAACCACAAACTTCAAGTGACAAAATGAGGATTAGAATTCAGTTAGACCTAGACTGTCTCAAAACCCAAGCTCTTTCCACACCCATGCTGCCTCCATCTCCCCTTCCATTATTACATGTTAAAATCTTGCAATGGAACAAATATTGGGGAATCTGGCACACTTAGGGAAACAATCTAGTTCCAAAATTTTGCTGTTTCATTGAATAAATTTCATTAGGAAGCAGCAAAATGTGTTTATAGTTTATGTAGTAATTCCACATCTATTACCTAATTTAATCTTCATAGAAGCCCTATGATGTGGTGGATATTGTCATTACTTCCATTTATCTCATCCTGGACTTGACTGACACATCAAAAGTGTAATTACCAGAAATGTATCTTAGATCCACTATCCTGTAAATTCCATGGATGCAGGAGTGATATTCATAGTTTTCACTATCACATGTAGCACCAGGGTCAGTGCTTGACACATAGAAGCAGCTCGATAATTATTTGTTAAAATAAATTAATGTATGAAGTCTTCCGATTTTAAATCCTATAATTATTTTTACTATATCACACTTCTTCTCTACCATATCCAACAAATATTCTACTATCTGGGGTAGAAACTTTATGTTACCTAGGAAATTTATTTTCACCCAGGTTCCAGAAGTCCAAGTGGAACTACCATAAGTA
This sequence comes from Homo sapiens, assembly GCF_000001405.40. NCBI lineage: Eukaryota > Metazoa > Chordata > Mammalia > Primates > Hominidae > Homo > Homo sapiens. The sequence goes on from NC_000011.10 coordinate 56,773,718, forward strand.
CATTTTATGGCAAGCCACATTTTGGATTTTTATAAATGACAAGATAATAAAAAAGATTTTTCCCAAGCCTCCGTAACTGGCCAATAATCTGGCTAGAATAAATTGATCTCTAAGGCCCTTCCAGCTAAACACGTTATAATTATGTGGGCACTCATTGAGCAATTGTCTGTTTTCAGAAATTGTGCATTCTGGAATAATCAATAAAAATAGCTCATAATACTTTGTACGTATAATGCACTCTAAAATATAGAAACTTTATTTATTTACCTAGCCAGTAGAATATGACCTTCAGTGAAAACATTTTAATTATCCTTGCCGGATTCATTTTGGGCAAATAGGTGGAACTAAAAGTCCCTTAAAAACCTTAGGATATTTCTGTAACAATTTGGCTATGATTTTAATGTCATCTAGGAAGCTGATTTATTCCTCAGTGAAGCTCTCTCTTTTTTGTCTCTTCATTACAAAATCAAGAGGTAAAGCTAGGTTGGGAGAGACAAGATAGAATTGGGTAACCATCGTAGGACTCTAAGAGGACATGGAACCCCTGGCATGGGTGCCCACTCTCCTCATGCTGTGGTGACACATCACTGGGCTACAGACCACAGGGATGCTCAGTACTCATCATGCCCAGGAGTCATGCCAGTCAAATTGAGCTGCATGCATGTGGTCCTTTATGATGCTGGAAATCTACTAATCTCACTAGAGCCAGCAGATCTATAAAGGGCCTACTTTCTACTATAACATTTCTCCATACATTCTTGGCTGGGCCATTACCAGGTTATAGAAGACATTATCATACACACGACCAAACCACAAGCTATCAAAGTTCAAAACATCCTCTAAACATCTATCAGAAAATTGAATCATGAGAAAATACAGAACCGATTTTTTCAGAAGCTCTTTTAGGTATGAAATTCATTAGAGATGCATGCAAGTCTCTTTATTGCCATAAGTAGGCCCAGTGGCCTGCCTCATTTGTCATACAGTTCAAAAGAGATCTGTCTTCATTCCCAGAGATATGCATAGTTCTTTGTGTCAAGGCCACCCTAAAATCCTGGTGCATACAGCCAAGAGTTTCATTCCATTCATGAGGCCAACCACAAAATCCCCACATCATTTTTTTTTACAAATTCCTATTGATGGGAGTTAGACATGAGTACAAAACTTATAGCACTAAATTTTTATATTCTAATGCCAGGGATTCATCAAAAAAATACATTAGCAGAGTGATTTAAAAATAACAAAAAATAAATAATAAAGTAAAGCTTTTTTGAAAATAATTGGACCATGAGATGTCTGAGGGAAGTAAAATTAAATGGACCACGAGTTTGAACTGTAATATTGGTATGTTATAGGGAAAAGATTACATATAGGGCCAAATAAATCCACATGGATTGACTAAATAAGTGAATAATTGGATGGTTGAATGGATAAAGGGATGCTAAACAGCCCCCAAACACTTGCAAGTGTTTTGGAATCTTAGGAAGCCACACAATTACTCTGTTCTTTTAAATTTTCCTCCCTAATTCCTTCTGGATAAGAATTTAGGCCTTGCAAAACTTCCTCTGAGTGACAGTCCTGTGGATGGCATCTTTGACTTCCTTGTTTCTCAAGCTGTAGATAAGTGGGTTCAACATAGGAATCACTGCTGTGTAAAACACAGACACTACTTTATTGAGATCCAGGGAGAAGGTTGCACTGGGATGTACATAAATAAAGAAAAGGGTACCATACGAGATGAAAACAGCTGTCAGGTGAGAAGAGCAAGTAGAAAAGGTTTTGCACCTCCCATCAGCAGAGCGGATCCTCAGGATGGCCATGAGGATGTAAATGTAGGAAATCAGGATAGTCAGACCACTGAAGACTCCCACAGCTCCAGCCACGATGAAAACTGCCAACTTATTGAGCCTGGTATCAGCACATACAAGGGAAAGTAAGGGGGACATATCACAGAAGAAAGGATTGATGACATTAGGGCCACAAAAAGGGAGACAAAATGCATTTGTTGTGTGAGTCATGGTATTCATGAGTCCAATGACATAGGGACCCACCACTAGCTGGATGCAGAGCCTCTGGGACATAGCAACTGAGTATAACAATGGGTTACAGATGGCCACATAGCAGTCATAGGCCATGGACTCCAAGAGGAAACAGTCTGCTGCCACAAAGAACCCAAAGAACCACTGCTGCAAAGCACAGCCAAGGAAAGAAATGGCTTTCCTCTTCACAAAGAAGTCAGTGAGCATCTTGGGGCTCACAACTGAGGAGAAGCAGGTGTCCACAAAGGACAGGTGGCTGAGGAAAAAGTACATGGGTGTGTGAAGGCGGGAATCAATTCGGATGAGGACAATCATTCCCAAGTTTCCAGTTACATTGATGACATAGAAAGTTGTCAGAAAGAGTAGGAAAAGGAAGACCTGCAACTGAGGATTGTAATTCAAGCCTGTGAAAATGAATTAGGTGACCTTTGTGTAGTTTTCATTAGCCATTGACTGGTTCTGCTTTCTACTAGAAGAAGAGCAAAGAATTCACAACAGACTTGATAAATGTGACTTCAAAAATGAGACACAGCAAAAATATGCCACGAACTTGGTCAAAGTCAAGAATGATATAAATTAGTTACACCATGCAGTCAAACAAAAGTGAGATATACACCAGTGCAAAACAGCAGACCTGAAGCTATGACATCTTAAGACTCCATGAAAATCCATCTGTACATAGATGAGAAAACAGAAGAAGCAGCTTTCTCAAGGTCCCATAACTAATTATTGGCAGAGTTGATTCCTGAATACTTGCCTAATGACTTCTACTTCAGTGACCCTTACCTGAGTCCACCAGGTAGACACACACCTGGTGAAGGGATGCAGGAGGGTGGGAGTGAGCAAGCTAGAGAGGAAATGAACAGCCACTCATTTCTAGGCCATATGCTGTGCACTTTATGATTACAACCTAAGGCTAAATGCATGTTTTCCAAGTGCACTGGAGTCCACCTCTTCTGACCCTGAAAAAGTAACTTATCTTCAACTCTGTCATGGGAATAACAATACCTACCATGTAAGTGTTGTGAGGTTTAAATGAGATGATGCATGCAAAATATCTAGAAGAGTCTTACTAAACATCTAGATAAGTGCTCAATAATTACTACTCATATTATCACATTAGTTAATCCCTCTAGAAAGCCTGCAAGCTAAATATTTTTTTTAATTTCAAGGAGAAACACTGAAGCTCAACCCTCATTCATAAATCTTGTGACTGGCAGAGGTGAACTTTGAACACAGGTCTGTCAAACTTCAAACATGGACCCCATATTTGGACTTCATCCAAAAGGACTATACTCCTTCCTTTTTCACACTTTTTCAATGCTTCCTGTGCCTTCACAGTTCCTTTGCTCTTAAGAGATCCAAAAGAAAAGAAAAGAATCTGGAAAAAGAGCCCAAATTCTGTATCCTCTGTATATTCTTTTGTCATCCACTATAAGGGTGATCTTCAGCTGATCTCTCCAAATCTTAGCTGCTTGATTTATTAAATATAGCAAAAACTCTTGCTCTTTGATCTCTGAGAATTATCATCCACTTAAAATGAGAGGATCAAGGTACAAGTGCTCAGAAAACTATTTTATTAGCCTCGAATATTGCAGTTCAATATCATACTTACGATAGGAACTTTTCTTTCATTTTTCTAACATGAGATTTATTATTTGACTTTAATAGACCTCCTTTAAGGCCAATAATATACACACTTGGCATGATATCATTTGTTTCAGAGGAATTAAAAAGACAGATTAGGTGGCCAGTCTAAGTGTTCAACCATCACATTCACCTCTTGCTTAAGCTCCTCCAGGAACACGCTACATTTCAGCCTTTGACTTGAAAATCGTCCAGAGCTCTTCACCCTTTCTTTGTCAATCTTCGTTTCTACAACTGCCCAATCCTTCTATCCCTCTAGACACATTTTGGCTTCTCCATTTCTGTTTTATTCAGTGCTTAGAATAGAATACAGTGGTCCGTAGAGATCAAACCACACAGAGTGAGAGACACAATTGGCTCTCATATTCAGGGCACTAAGGTACCAGCAACACAACCTACAACAGCTTTCCCTTAGCAAGGAAATCACCTGGGTGTTTTAGGCATCGAATGGGTGGGATTCAGTGCTGTCTTGTCCCATTATAGTACTGCTAAAGCATCTCTGTCCCACTTTATAATTATGTGATTATAGTTTGATCTGGTTGCAGAACCTTATCTCTACACACATCATCTCTTCTTAGCTCTTGCTGAATCATTCGTCAATGACAAGGGTAATGCTGATCTTGCCATGAACCAAATATGTAATCTAGTTGAATTCCACTTGAAAAAATTTACGTTTTCTTGAGCTTGTTAATAAGCAGATAATTAAAAAGCAGAAAATTATTTAAAAGTTCTCAACTCACTTTTTAATGAGTTCCTCCTTATTTAACGATGACGAAAAGAAATTATTTAAAAGTTCTCAACTTACATTCTAATGGGCTCCCTCTACTTCAACAACAAAAGGAACTAAAGTAAAACTAAGCCCTGTCTCAAGTTACAACCCTCCCCTTCACACAGCTACCTTGACATAGAGAATGGGTCAGAATTTACTTTTGTCATTTGATTTTATTCTTTATCTTCTTCCAAATAAACGTGGAAGACATCAGTGTAAAACATAATCAGATTCTTTTTCAATTAGATAAATGTTCCCTGAACTAGTTGCATCATTTTTTTTCTTGCTGTTGTTATTGAAGGCACTCTGTCCCCAGAGTGTGCCATAACTTGGGAATGAGGCTGCTTAAGGGAAAGTGCAATTAAAGTTGTTTTATATTCTAAATAAGTCCAGTAAGATGTTTCTTGATAATTTTGTGTTTTGTTTCTAACTGGATATAGTGACTCCACTTCTCTCTAGTTCCATACTAAGCAAGGAAACTCCATTTACAAGGTATGTTTTTTAAATTGACATAGCACAAGAGAGGGAGGGCCACCAAAGAACCTTAGCTATCTCTGCCCCCCCTCTGTTTTGCATTCATGTCTTGGGAACATGAGCAAAATCTGTAGAAAATGGATTTTCCTTAGAAGTAGCATTTAACACATGTTGCTGAAGAAGTTAATTTTCCCACAACTTTGACCAAAACACGTAAAGAGTTTAATTATTGTAAGCTGGAAGATGACTTCTGATGATGTATTAATTGATCATTAAACTTCAGCAGATTATATCTAAACAGTTGAAGTATGGTAAAGAATACACATTTCTTGTTGCCAAGAAAAGAATAAAAACCAGTTCAACAAAACACTTCATGGTTAAGTTTTACCTCCACTGCAAATAGCATTAACCTGACAAAAAAGTCAAAATAGAATTCTGAATTTTGATTCTAGACAACTACAAGTCTTTCAGCATACAACAGAATGTCCCTACTCTGAGAATTTTGTTTTTGATTTCTTTACATGCTGCCATGTTCTTTAAAGCATTTTTTATGAGAGCTAAATTTTTGATGAGTCTGTTGACTATATGCATGCAAAACAAATTTACCTCTCCCCTGAAAACCCTTTAGGTATCACAGCTTAATTTTTTTATGTCTAAAATAGTATTAACAGTCATTATTACTAATGATATTAATTTTTACTATGTTTAATATTGTTAAGGATACTGATAATTATTTGACTTTTCCCCCTTTGGGGGTAGCAGGTTTGATTGTCTTCATACATAAATAATTATTTTATTAACCTTACAATAAAACCATCTCTTCTAGGACTTGTCTAGGTGTGAGCTTCTTTTTCTTGATTTTTGTCCAGATGTAGTAAAAAATTTAAATCTAAATACGTGACTTTCTTTTTTTTTGTTTTGTTGTTTTTTTGAGAAGAAATCTCACTCCCTCTGTCGCCCAAGCTGGAGAGCAGTGGCGCCATCTCGGCTCACTGCAACCTCCACCCCCAGGGTTCAAGGGATTCTCATGCCTCAGCCTCTCAAGTAGCTGGTATTACAGGTGCACTACCACACCCAGCTAATTTTTGTATTTTTAGTAGACATGGGGTTTCACCATGTTGGCCAGGCTGGTCTCGAATTCCTGACGTCAAGTGATCCACCTGCCTTGGCCTCCCAAAGTGCTAGGATTGCAGGCATGAGCCACCACTCCTGGACCTAAATATGTGACCCTTTATTAGCCCAGGAAACATTCTGTAGCCTTGATCATCCTTTCTGCCCTGATTGTTCTGATTTATCCTAAAAATACACATATTATCTGTTAGGTGAATCTCTATTCTATGTTTTTGATATCAGTATGTGTCTTTTCATCCTTTTAATTACGTTTTCTTTTCTCTCTGCACTTTGTAAGAACTTTTCAAGAAACCCCGTCTCTAGTAAAAATACAAAAAAAAAAAAAATTAGTCGGGCATGGTGGTGCACACCTGCAATCCCAGCTACCCAGAAAACTGAGGTGGGAGAATTGCTTGAACCCGGGAGGCAGAGGTTGCAGTGAGCCGAGATTGTGCCACTGCACTCCAGCCTGGGTGGCAGGAGACTCCATCTCAAAAAAAAAAAACAAAAAATTACTCTCAAACAAAAATTTGATCCTCTAAGTGTCGATTCCTTTTAAAGCCTCCATGTGGCTTTTATTTCTGCAGCTGCATTGTAATTTCCTTAAAGTTCACAAATCCTCTTCATTATTACTTTACTATGATTTTGCCTATAATATTTTGCCTCTTCTTCATGGAAACAAATACATCTGAGATGTTACTAGAATTCTGACTCTATTTACCCTCTCTCTAATGGTTGCTTAAAGCACTTTTATTTGAAGAACAGGTAAATGTTTGTTCCATGAGGGTATTTGTATTTTCTAACTGTTTTGAAATTGTATTTACTGATTTAAATAAGAATCAATATTAATATTTTAATTCTTCCTATGTTGCTTATCACATAATTATTTTAAATTTCTTTATGTACATCTGTGCTGAATAATCTTTATAATCTATATTTCTAAGTTTTTGTAAAAATGTATTTTCTGTAGCCACAAAGACAATTTCTAGATAGTGCTTTTCTAGAAGTAAGGGGATAATTACTCATGATTAAAGTTAAGATGTTAAACTTACAAAACAAACCCATATGTCAAAGAAAAGGCAGATGATTGGCTTTATTTTCAATGTATATGTCTGTGCTTTTAAAAAGTATTTTCTTCCTTTACCTAAATGATTTTCTGGGTGTATCAGTTGGTTTTCACACTGCTGATAAAGACATACCCGAGACTGGATGATTTATAAAGAAAAAGAGGTTTAATGGACTCACAGTTCCACGTAGCTAAGGAGGCCTCACAATCATTGCAGAAGACAAAAGTCTACATGGCAGCAGGCAAAAGAGCAAATGAGAGAAAAGTGAAAAGGAAAATGCCTTATAAAACCATCAGATCTTGTGAGACTTATTCACTACCATGAGAACCATATGGGGGAACTTGCCCCCATGATCCAATTACTGCCACTGGGTCTCTCCCACAACATATGGGAATTATGGAAGCTACAATTCAATATGAGATTTGGGTGGGGACACAGCCAAACCATATCATTGGGCAAGAAACAGCTGGCAAAAGAAGGAAAGGTACAAACTATGCCAGGCCTTACCACAGAATATTCACCTTATGCCATCATAGATTTGCACATTTTTAGTTGAAAATGAGGGTAAAATCAGAAAAAAAGTTATGTTATTAGTTGTTTATGGTAGTATCAGATTGATTCTGAAAACTGTGTTTCAAATTCATGCAATCAATAGCTATAGCAAAAATGCTTTATACAATAGCAGATTTTATATTTTACCATCAACATTATATTTGAGAATCAATAAGATAAAACAAGCAGAAAATAATATGAACAGACAAATTGACAATATACCTGTTAAGATGGAGATAACTCTAATTCAAAATATTATTATATCAAAATTGCTTCCTTATAGTGGTTGAGGAATCTATAGACATTAATAACAGAGAAGAGTTAATAGCTCTAGTTACTCTCTGAAGATGAAGGCTTGAGCTGCAAATATGTCCCAAACAAACTAATGAAGATCTATCATTCATAGTCTAAATGAATATGTGATATGCCTATCCCCTTGATATCTCAGCATTACAAATTATTGCTTTTCCTCACTCCATTGGAAGTAGGCATAGCCGTAAAACTTCCTTTGATCATTGCAATTTGAACAGAAGAGGTATGTGTTACTCTTGGGAAGATGCAAAGAAGAGTCCCTATATTCTCTTTCCTCCCAAACTGAGGAGGAAAGTTCCACATGATGGAGTGTTCAACTACCTGAAGTCTTTGTGCACGGAATACACCAACATGAAATGAGAATGTACTGTGAGGAAAAAATAAATGTATTTCTTTATTAAAGTCTCAGAAATTGGAAGATGGTTGGTCATTACGAATAACCTAGAGTATTCCAACAGATATCAGATATTTTGAAAATGTTACGGAAACAATATGTAAATCTGAACTCACTGAAAACACATCACCTCAAGAGTCCATTGTGAAAATACTGAGATTAAAGAAAGACATACCTTTCATTACATGAAAGCTCTGGTTTTTAAAAACTTGCCCGTATTTGATTACAGATCTCAATGAAAGTGTAAAGAGGAACTAGGATGCTGACTTTGAGAGTTCCTCAATGAAGTGGCCCAGTGAGTCACTCTACCGTGAAACCTAAAATGTACAATCTTCACTCAGATACCCATTCTTTCTAAACAGCCTTAAGTTGCCCCAATATTAAATACAAGCTGACAATTAAGAAGCACTAGATTCCCAGGCAAGACGGATGAATAGGAACAGTTCTGGTCTGCAACTCCCAGCGAGACCAATGCAGAAGGCGGGTGATTTCTGCAATTCCAACTGAGGTACCCGGCTCATCTCATTGGGACTGGTTAGACAGTGGGTGCAGCCCAGGGAGGGCGATCAGAAACAGGGTGGGGTGTCGCCACACCTGGGAAGCGAAAGGGGTTGGGGAACTCCCTCCCCTAGCCAAGGAAAGCTGTGAACATTTCAATAAAGAGAAAGAAGAGCTTGGGAACCAAGCAGAATTTAATTTGACATCTGTGTCTGCCATTTCCTCCCATGTAGCTTCAGGAAAGTCACTCCACTATTATGAACCTCAGGATTTCTTATCTCTTGAATGAGAATAATTTCCACTTTGCAAAGTTTTTTTTAATAAAATAATTTTTAAAGGGCTTACATCACCTGTTGCTAAAAAGTTTTATAATATTATTTTCTCTTAAAGAGTGTTCCAATACCCCCATTAACAGTAGCATTTTACAATTACCATTATTATTAATATGTAAGTATTACCCCATGAAAAGGAAGTAAGTTACTTTTTAGATATTTTTAAATTCCTGAATAATTAGAGTAAAATACAAATCATTCTAAACATTCTAATCTGTGGTCGATATTAAAAGGTAGAAGCAGTCATTTTTAAAATATACATATTTTACTCACTTTTATTTATTTGGAAAGTAGCAAATGACAGACTAGAAAGTATTTTCAGCTAATGATATGCCTTTTTTTATGATCGTTATGTGATATAAGGAGCTATTAAGAATGTTCAATGATGGAGTCAAAAGCTCTTAACTATGTGTTTCTAGAAAAGATATGCCATAGTTCTGTTACGTGTCATTGGAAATTTATTTTCTCACTTTATATTTTAGTTTCACAAATCGAAAGATACGAATGTGAAAGTATATCAGCAATTTTAAAGATTGATGTGCCATTAACTTGGAGGATCTAATGAAAGCTCCGGTCCTTTCCTGTGGAATAAATGTGCATAGACCTTAACACACAAACTTTGGACTTCACGGCCCTCCAAAATTCCAAGCCTAACATCTTAGTAATGCTTTCAATTAATAAAGGAAACCTGAGACAATTTTGTTATCTTAATTGATAAGTTGATGCTGCCATCTAGTGGCAATGCTTAACAACTTAAGAAGAAACCACGACAGTGTTATTTCGCTGGGAATACTGTTTACCCTTAAACGTATTCTGTATTCGCTAAGAGCATGTTAACAAGAGTTGACTTAAGAGTTAAAGATATACAATATATTTCTTAGTGAAATATTTTATATAAACTTAGAGTAATTTTTTAATTAAAATTTAGTTTTGAAAAATATAATCCTTATACAAATCTGATAATTTCTCAGGAAAAAAGTTCTACAGAAAGTTGTCACTGGAGTAACTCAGTTGAATTAGTTATTTCTTTTCCTTCACAATTTCTTACCTAAGATTACTAAAAGGAAGGAGAAAAGGATGTTTCATAAATAATATGAAAATGTATATTTCATGAGTACTGAAAGCAAACATTATAAAAGCAAAATTTAATGGGTTGGGAAATTGAACTAATATTTAAAATTAGGTTTTGAAAACTCAGGATGTAAGGTCATTTTGAGGAAATCTTTACTAACAGAGAAACCGGAGAAAGATGAATCAACATTAATAGTTAATCTTTCCTTACATTTCTTTCCAAATGGATCTGAAGAAAACAAAAGCCTGTTATGCTCCGTTGGGTTCAACAAACTTTTATTGAATAACTACTCTGTGCCAGACACTGTACAAGGTTCTCATGATAAACAAGTAGTAGCTCCTTGGGACATATGATTAGGAAGAATTCCTCTATTTCTAGGTAAATAAAATTGTGTTTTAATCAGGAGCAGATGATGTCCCATGCCTTTCCAACATCCATAAAGATGACTATATGAATATCAATAATAATAAGAAAAAAAATCAGCAATAACAAGAATAGAAACATCATCCAGCACTTCTAAATACTCTCCTGCAATATCTTATTTAATTTTGATAGTAATACAATGCCCTAGATAATGTTATCCCCATTTTATAGAGAAGAATACAAAAAAATTTCTATAAATTATGTGTAATTTTGGATACTGATTTTATTTTGAATTTTGCAGTATGTAGCCTCACTTATGTAACCTTAATATAGTTGTGCCATTCGTATTTAAATTTGTGAATATAATATAGATATTAGATTCTCCAGAGAGACAGAACCTATCAGAGATAGATAGATGTAGACACAGATAGAGATATAGATGCCTAAGAGGGAATTTATTAGGGGAACTGGTTCATGATTACGAAGTTTAAGTCCCAGGCAGATAATCTGCAAGCTAGAGACCTTAGGATGACAGTAGCATGGCTCAGTCCAAGCCTAAAGGCCTCAAAAACAGGGAAGCTGATGTTGTAACTCTAAGTCTGAGGCTTGAGGACTGAGAACCTGGGACCACTGGTGCAAATCCTGGAGTCCAAACGCTGGAGAGCCTGGAGTTCTGATGTCCAAGAGCAGGAAAAGAAGAGTGTCCCAACACTAGGAGAGAGAGAAAAAAAATAGAATTTGCCTTTCTTCTGTCTTTTTGTTTCATCCAAGCCCCAAGACGATTGGATGGTGCCTGCCCCCATTGAGTGAGGGATGATTTTCCCACCTCAGTCTACCTACTCACATGCCAATCTCTTCTGGAAACACCCTCTCAGACACACCCAGAAATAATTATTTACCAGCTATCTAGGCATCCCTTAGTCCAACCAACTTGACACACCTGCAATTGACTGTCACATCCTCCTCTCTCTTTCTCTCTCTCACATACTCACACCATGCACACACATCACTGAATCTAATAGGATTAAAAATAATCTTTTCCTCTCTCTTTCTTCAAAACATCTTTAAACCTTTTTCTTTCTTTCCTCAAAGTTCCATTTTAAATATGTTTGTCTTCCCAATCAGATGTCCCTTTTCCCTTCTTTTGGCAAAAAAAAAAACACTCTTTTAGTGGTTCTAAGATAACTTGTCCCTCCCACACCTGGTGTGGCTGTCAACCATGAGGCCCTGAATCTTCAAACCACAGAGGTAGGCCCCTGATCCAGGAGAATAAGTCAGTTGGAGGATACCAGTACTCTGGACACAACTAACAGGTAAGTAGAAAAAAATTGGGTCAATCAAAGACAGTTTTTGTTTCTTTTGAATGGTGTCAAATAGTGACAGAAAAGAAATGAGTAGAAAACTTCTCCTAACTATATTGTCCCAATTTTATTTTCCTTTAATGAGCTAAAGCTTAAAAGCCAAACCAATACAATAGTCGACCAAAGGTGTTACGTGGATGTTCTTTCCCTACCCACCCCCAAAAAAGGGATTTTATCAGTTCAGATTAGGTTTGCCTACATGTGTTAGGAAATTTAAAGTAGCAGTAACTTAAACAAGTTGTTTAAACTTTATTTTTCTTTCTTATAAAATGAGTAAGTAAATAGCCAATGTAGGGCAGATAAGGCTACTATACAGTGACAGGAGCCCGAATGTTTCCCCATAGTACAAAATGACTGCCACTGAATCTACATTTAGGTCACAAAAAGGAGACAGGTGACAAGAAGAATGCTAACCTAAACATCTAAGGAGACTTCCCAGAAGAACCTCACACATTTTCTTCTTACATTTCAGTACTTTGTCATGTGGCAACAGCCACGTACAAAGGAGATTGAAAAATGTAGTGTTCTATCTTGGTTGCAATGTGACCAGCTAAAAATGGGGCTTCCATTAAGCAAGAGGAGAATGAAAGATGGAATTCCTCTTTAGTAGTATTTGCTACAGAGGTAAATGTAATTTATTTGGCTTCTTTTCTTCTTAGCCATTTTTTCCCCTTAGATGATCTTCCTTTCATGCTGGCATTTGTATGATAGCTAAAAGCACAAGTTTTGCTGTCTGAGGACCTGAGTTAGAATCCCAACCCCACTGTAAATAAACTGTATGATCCTGTCTCCATCATGAGATATATTTGATCCTTCTTTTTTTGTAGGATAATGATTCCTAGCTCTTCTTTTTTTGTAGTAGTGCTGATCCCTAGCTCTTCTTTATTTGTAGTAATACTAATCCCTAGCTGGTTCGCCATTAAATGCACGCTTCTCTCCCTCCAAAGGAGAAAAGAACTTTTCCTGTCTCATTTACTGCTGTATCCTCAGGACTTGGAATAATGCCTGCTAATCAGGAGTCACCATATACATATTTTTTAACTTAATTTTGACAACTAAAAATCCTCTTGCGAAGAATATCTAATAGCACATAATTTATTTTAAAATATTTAGGATTTATCTAGTTAAAAGCAAGCTAAAAATAACATTTAATATAAAATCCTATAAAAATCTTGTAAAAATATATATACCTACATATAAGAAAATGCTGGAAGAGTGTAAACAATGGATTTAGCATAGATTATTTATACAAACAAAATTACATGACAAGAACGTGTGTTTTTCTAGATCCCATTGTCTTATAAAATAAACTATCTGCATTTTTATATTTCAGAATCCTATATATATGGTACAAACATATAAATTTTAAATAGTAGAAAAAAATATCTATTTTGATGTATATTACCATTGTTTTCATATGTGAGTAGTGAAATTACATGTGAGTTTTACTTTCTTTGTGTTCTGCTTTCCAAACATTCTCTAATAATTTTAGGTCTCTAAAAGTATGTATTTATTGCTTTTCCTAGGCAACAAGAGAAAGTATTTTTTTAATTTAGGCCCATATATTTTATATTCTTATTAGGCCAAAGACGTTTTGATTCAATTAATACATTAAATTATATAATAATCTTACTAAGTGGAACAATTTTCTCATTTCAAGAAAAATGTTGTTTACTACTTTTAAAATATGGTAAAAACTGTGGTTGGAAAAAGTGATTTCTGAAATCTCTAAGAGGGTGCAAAGCCTCTCATCACACTCAGGCTACAGACAGTCTGTTTTCTGTCAACATCATTAGATTTGCCTTCAACCCATTATTTTTGGCATTGGAATTGCTCAAGTGCAATTCAAGGAGATTGCAGTTACTGACCCATTGTTCTGAGTCCAGACAAGACCGCTTTCCATCTGAACATGTCTATTGGTCTCTCCTTCAATGAGACACCCATGAAATATTGAGAGCCTTGGGGAAAGTTGAGTGTCCACACATATCATCCCAATGTGTTCCAGGGAAGTTTGTAAACACTGGAGAAGATCTGATAGCACCTGATTCATTCTGAAATTGGGGTTCTGTATGAAGAGTTATTTTAGATGCACAGGATCAGCTCTGCATCCACTTTTCTGACCAGAAACTCTTCCTTAATTTCAAAGAAACAAAAAGATGCTAAAACTATTTTAAAATTTTGTCTATTATATTTCTTTTTCAATTTGGAAACAACAAAAATGGGTAACATGAAAATAGGCTGTAAATTTTCTGTATTTTAATTTACCTCTAACTTTTCCATACCCAGTGCCTCTGAATTTTAAAAATTTTTCTATTTTACTATTCACTTTCTTGCATTTTATTTCTAGTTTCTATAATAAGCTATTCCCATTTATTTTTACCTAAAAGAACTAAGAAAAAAACTAAATATCAACAAATAAAGTAATAGCTGAAATGACTTAAGAGTCAAATACACAGAGAGTCATCTGAAAATTATTGCCAGGATTTGTCTCTGTATGAAATAGTAAGATTCTAGGGTTTTTATTTTTATTGTTGCTCCTCTTTTCCTTTATATTTTATATTTTCTGTTATAATGATGATTTATTTTGTTTTTAGAATATAAAAATAAAGAAAATAGGCATAAAATAAATTCAAAGGAATATAAGAAAAAGAATTCCTTTTATTTAAAAAATTATTTTTAAGCAAAGTAACCTTTTATATTTTCAATTCTGTAGATGGGAATGGGGAACACATGTTTTTTTTCCAATAAATCACTCCTGGTGTGGACATTTACATTATTAAATATAACTAGTGTGCTAGTAATAACAGTCGCTAGATGGTTCTAATATTCATTAGACTTTATCATATTCCTAATAATGAAGATTTTGGGGAGACATATAATTGTTCTGACTCTGTAGGTAACTAAAAATTTTTATCATTTATAGAAAGATGATGAAATGGAGGTTTTTCCAAAAGTAAGTAGTAAAATAAAAGTCAGATGGAAGCATAGAAATATGCCATCCCCTAAATTTTGCAAATGGCTTAGTATCTTGGGATGATGACGAGGAAGTCTAACTATGTCTGGAAGCTTTTCCTTTTATCTACTTTTTGTTCTTGATGAGAATTAAAATTGTAATTTTCTTTTTAAAAAACTTCTTTTTGGTAATCATCCTCCCCATGGCATCTTTTACTTTTTTTATTATTATTATACTTTAAGTTTTAGGGTACATGTGCACAACGTGCAGGTTTGTTACATATGTATACATGTGCCATGTTGGTGTGCTGCACCCAGTAACTCGTCATTTAGGATTAGGTATATTTCTTAATGCTATCCCTCCCCACTCCCCCCACCCCACAACAGGCCCCGGTTTGTGATGTTCCCCTTCCTGTGTCCATGTGTTCTCATTGTTCAATTCCCACCTATGAGTGAGAACACGCAGTGTTTGGTTTTTGTCCTTGCAATAGTCACTGAGAATGATGGTTTCCAGCTTCATCCATGTTCCTACAAAGGACATGAACTCTTCATTTTTTGTGGCTGCATAGTATTCCATGGTGTATATGTGCCACATTTTCTTAATCCAGTCTATCATTGTTGGACATTTGGGTTGGTTCCAAGTCTTTGCTATTGTGAATAGTGCCACAATAAACATACGTGTGCATGTGTCTTTATAGCAGCATGATTTATATTCCTTTGGGTATATACCCAGTAATGGGATGGCTGGGTCAAATGGTATTTCTAGTTCTAGATCCCTGAGGAATCACCACACTGACTTCCACAATGGTTGAACTAGTTTACAGTCCCACCAACAGTGTAAAAGTGTTCCTATTTCTCCACATCCTCTCCAGCACCTGTTGTTTCCTGACTTTTTAATGATTGTCATTCTAACTGGTGTGAGATGATATCTCATTGTGGTTTTGATTTGCATTTCCCTGATGGCCAGTGATGATGAGCATTTTTTCATGTGTTTTTTGGCTGCATAAATGTTTTCTTTTGAGAAGTGTCTGTTCATGTCCTTCACCCACTTTTTGATGGGGTTGTTTGTTTTTTTCTTGTAAATTTGTTTGAATTCATTGTAGATTCTGGATATTAGCCCTTTGTCAGATGAGTAGATTGCAAAAATGTTCTCCCATTCTGTAGGTTGCCTGTTCACTCTGATGGTAGTTTCTTTTGCTGTGCACAAGCTCTTTAGTTTAATTAGATCCCGTTTGTCTATTTTGGCTTTTGTTGCCATTGCTTTTAGTGTTTTAGACATGAAGTCCTTGCCCATGCCTATGTCCTGAATGGTATTGCCTAGGTTTTCTTCTAGGGTTTTTATGGTTTTAGGTCTAACATTTAAGTCTTTAATCCATCTTGAATTAATTTTTGTGTAAAGTGTAAGGAAGGGATCCAGATTCAGCTTTCTACGTATGGCTAGCCAGTTTTCCCAGCACCATTTATTAAATAGGGAATCCTTTCCCCACTTCCCTGGTGGTCTAGTGGCTAGGATACTTCTTTATTTATCAAGCTGTAGATGAGAGGTTTCAACATGGGGATGTACAGAACACCAACACTATTTTATTGAGTTCCGGGTAAAAAGTTGCACCTGGTCGAACGTAGCTAAAGAAGAGAGACCCATAAAAGATGGAAACAGCTGTTAAGTGTGAAGAGCAGGTGGAAAAAGTTTTGTTCTTCCCATTAGCAGAGCAGATCCTCAGAATGTCAGTAAGGATGTAAAAATAGGAGATTATAATGGTCAGGCTACTGACAACTAGTACAGCTCCAGCCACAATGAAAACTAACAATTTATTGATCCGGGCGTCAGCACACACGAGAGAAAGAAGGAGAGACATGTCACAGAAGAAATGATTGATAATGTTGGAGTGAAAAAAGGGAAAATGAAAAGCAGCCGTTGTGTGAGTTATGGTGTTGAAGAAATCAGCTGCATAACGTACAACCACCAGCTGGATGCACAGTCTCTATTACATGGCCACTGAGTACAACAATGGGTTACAGATGGCCACATAATTGTCATAGGCCATGGAAGCCAAGAGAAGATACTCAATGACTATGAAGAACCCAAAGAACCACTGCTGCAAGGGACAGCCCAGGAAAGAGATGGCTTTCCTTACAGCAAATAAGTCAGTGAGCAACTTGTGGCCCACAACGGATGAGAAGCAGATGTCCACAAAGGACAGGTAGCTGAGGACAAAGTACATAGGTGTGTGAAAGCAGGAATCGAGCCAGATGCGAACCATCATGCCCAAGTTTTCTGTCATAGTAATGAGGTAAAAAAGGTAGAAATGGTAAGAAAAGGAAGACTTGCAGCTGAAGATGATACCTTAAGCCTACAAAAATGAATTCTGTGATCCTTTTATATTTCCATCAGCCATTGGTTGATTTTAGTCTCTATAGTGAGAAAAATAGAGAACTGATCATGCATTCAACTTTGATTTTTTAAAATCATAACATATTGCACAGGAAAAGAAATATAGGTGGAACTAACTTAGAAACATTGATATTTTTTAAAAAGCCCAAATAAAATGCTAGGACATTAGATATATCACAGTTCTAAAAAATAGTATGGTTTAAGCGTTTTATAGAGAAATTTGGGACTTAACTAAGAAATGGTTAAAACTTTATAAACCTATATAAATTAATCACTACCCTTACAGATTATAGGAAAAAGCATTATTATTATTTCAATCGAATTTGAACAAGAATTTGATAAAATGCAGCTCTCAAGAAGAACTTTCCAAAACTGGAAATAAAAATAACTATTTAATTTAATACAAAGAATCTTCCAGAAAAAAAAATGTGTGTAGTGTTAAGACATTAGAAACATTCACATTATAATCAGACACTATTTAAAGATGTCCATAACATATGTATTTAACATTTATATTAAAGATTGTAAAATTCTAAAAAAAAAAAAGATAAATATAAGTACTGTAGTAAAAGTAGAAAGAAATAACTGTCACTATTAGCAGGCAAAATAATCAGCCACATAGAAAACCTAGGAGAATCAACTGTTAAGATAAATTTTTAGAAAAAAATAATAAAAGTTTAACAAGGTAGTAGAATAGAAAATCAATATGGAAAATCAAAAATAATCAAATGTAAATTATCTCAGCAAAAATCATATTAATCAACTGGAATTAATAAAAAAAAAAAACCACTAATAAGCCCAACAAAGCATTTTCAAGATTTCTACGAAGAAAAATACAAATAATGGAACTTTAATGAAATAAAAAAAATGACAAAATAAGCCAGAAAAACATAATATTTTTGTTTTTTGATCTCTTCTGGATCAAATGACTTAGTCATAAAGAGTCTTTTTCTCTTGGAAAAAATAAATTAGCTCCTATTGGGAAAGTAAAAATCTAACTGGCCATTCTTCACACTGGACTAACAGACTTAGATAAATACAACTGTAGAGTCAGCAGGAAACAAGATTTCTCCATAGAATATTTTGCAGCTGTAAAGTGTCCCAACAACACTTTTCTTTGAGTAATTACTATTTTATTACTCAAGAATGACTTTCTATTCTAAAATAATAGGCCATCTAATTTTCTTTTAAATTATATTAGTAGATAAAACAGCTTACTCTCTTCTAGAAGATCTAAGTCACCTTGACATAGCAAAGCAGTCTTATTTCCAACACAGATACAGAACATCAAACAAGGGGCTTCAAGATGCAATATTCCACATTTACCTTAACTTTGTAATTCCTAAGGAAGAAGGACCCTGTGTCTGCTTTGTAATTTGAAACTGATGTTGACTGCTTTATAGACAACCCCACTTTGCTTGGTGTATATCAAAAATTCTCTTGGTATAAATTTTACCTAAACTCAGCCCTTCTCAATGATCCTATAATTACTATCTTTCCTTCATTTAATGAGACGTCCGTAGTTTATAAGCTGTGTGGTCTCCCTCATTGTGATGGATCAATAAAGGTGATTTGGTGAGAAAAAGGCTTGCTCCTGGTTTTCTTAGGCTATTTGGGTTAAGATACTCACCAAATTATTTCACAAATTTAATGTAGTTCCAACCAAAATCGAAACATATTTTAATAAAACAATTTGATTTAAAAATGTATAAAGAAGAAAAATGTTCAACAATAGCCAACACAATTTTGAAAAAGAAAACCAAAGACAAAGGATGTGTTATGCCAGGTATCTGCACAGATTATAAAGCTACCATAATTATAACAACAAGGTGTTGTTCCTAGACTATATGGAAATATGAGTAGAAGACCCAAAAGCAGATTCATGAACGTATGCCAATTTAACATAAATGTTTATTTCAAATTGGGAAAATAATGATGAATTAAACATAAAAGGTATTATAATATTTGAATGCTTTTGAAAAAATAACAAATATTAAAACTCTACCTTACACTACCTAAATTAAATAATCCTAACTATAAATATGTGACAAGATATAATAAAGATAGCATTACAATTTTCTTGTAAGAATGGTCTTCTTAAATAGTACATAAAGGTCATTTAATTTTTTTTAATTAGCTACATTTATTTATATATATATTATTATACTTTAAGTTCTAGGGTATATGTGCACAATGTGCAGGTTTGTTACATATTTATACATGTGCCATGTTGGTGTGCTGCACCCATTAACTCTTCATTTAAATTAGGTATATCTCCTAATGCTATCCCTCCCCACTCCCCCCACCCCACAACAGGCCCCGGTGTGTGATGTTCCCCTTCCTGTGTTCAAGTGTTCTCATTGTTCAATTCCCACCTATGAGTGAGAACATGTGGTGTTTGGTTTTTTGTCCTTGCAATAGTTTGCTGAGAATGATGGTTTCCAGCTTCATCCATGTTCCTGCAAAGGATATGAACTCATTCGTTTTTATGGCTGCATAGTATTCCATTGTGTATATGTACCACATTTTCTTAATCCAGTCTATCATTGTTGGACATATGGGTTGGTTCCAAGTCTTTGCTATTGTGAATAGTGCCACAATAAACATACGTGTGCATGTGTCTTTATAGCAGCATGATTTATATTCTTTTGGTTATATACCCAGTAATGGGATGGCTGGGTCAAATGGTATTTCTAGTTCTAGATCCCTGAGGAATTGCCACACTGTCTTCCACAATGGTTGAACTAGTTTACAGTCCCACCGACAGTGTAAAAGTGTTCCTATTTCTCCCCATCCTCTCCAGCATCTGTTGTTTCCTGACTTTTTAATGATTGCCATTCTAACTGGTGTGAGATGGTATCTCATTGTGGTTTTGATTTGCATTTCTCTGATGGCCAGTGATGATGAGCATTTTTTCATGTGTCTGTTGGCTGCATAAATGTCTTCTTTTGAGAAGTGTCTGTTCATTCCCTATTTAACAAATGGTGCTGGGAAAACTGGCTAGCCATATGTAGAAAGCTAAAACTGAATCCCTTCCTTACACCTTATACAAAAATT
This sequence comes from Homo sapiens, assembly GCF_000001405.40. Lineage (NCBI taxonomy): Eukaryota > Metazoa > Chordata > Mammalia > Primates > Hominidae > Homo > Homo sapiens. The sequence continues at coordinate 56,794,109 of NC_000011.10, forward strand.
AATTCAAGATGGATTAAAGACTTACATGTTAGACCTAAAACCATAAAAACCCTAGAAGAAAACCTAGACAATACCATTCAGGACATAGACATGGGCAAGGACTTCATGTCTAAAACACCAAAAGCAATGGCAACAAAAGCCAAAATTGACAAATGGGATCTAATTAAACTAAAGAGCTTGTGCACAGCAAAAGAAACTACCATCAGAGTGAACAGGCAACGTACAGAATGGGAGAAAATTTTTGCAATCTACTCATCTGACAAAGGGCTAATATCCAGAATCTACAAAGTGCTCTTACAATTCTTTAAGCTGCATCAATTATTTACTTAAAGTCTTCCTACTTTTATGATGTAGGCTTTTATCATAAATTACCCCTTAGTACTGCTTTATTTTCTATTGCATACGTTTGGTATATAGTGTTTTCTTTTTAACTGTTTCCTTTTGGAAAAACAAATTCTTCTTAACTTCTTCATTGGCCCAATGGTAATTCAGAAGCATATTGTTTAATTTTCATATATTTGCATAGTTCCCGAAGTTCCTCTTGTACTGATTTCTAGTTTTATTCTATTGTGGTCAGAAAAATGTATGTGATATTATTTCAATTGTTTTTAATTTTTTGAGACTTCTGAATTTTTTGTGGCCTACTAAATGGTCTATAAGGAACTCAAACAACTTTTTATCAAGTAATCATAAGAATAATCACATTTGAAAATGGGCAAAAGCTCTGTATAGATGTCTCTCAAAAGAAGATATACGAATGACAAACAGTTATATGAAAAAAATTACTCAACATCACTAATCATCAGAGAAATGCAAACCAAAACTGTGATAAGATATTCCCTCACTCCAGTTAAAATGCCTTTTATCAAAAAGTCATACAATAATGTGTGCTGGTGAGGATCTGGAGAAAGGAGAACCCTCATACTCTTTTGGTAGGAATGTAAATTAGTACAGCTACTATAGAAAACAGTATAGAGCTTCCTCAAAAAAACACAAGTAGAACTACCATATGATTCAGCAATTTCACTGCTGGGTACATACCCAAAAGAAAATATATTTGTATGTCAAAGAGCTATCTGCACTCCCATGTTTATTGCAGCACTAGTCACAATAGCCAAGAGATGGAATCAACCTAAGTGTTCATAAGCAGATGAATGAAGAAAATGTAGTACATATACACTACAAAATATTATTCAGCCATAAAAAGAATGAAATCCTGTCATTTGCAGCAACATGGAGGTAACTGGAGGACATCATGTTAAGCGAAATGAGCCAAGCACAGAAAGTCAAACATCAATGGTCTCATATGTTGGAGCTAAAAAAAATAAACACATAAAAGAAAATATATATATATATTGATATATATATGTCATATATATATGATATATATATGTCATATATATATGATATATATATATATATATGTCATATATATGATGGAACACTACTCAGCCAAAAAAAGGAATTAGTTAATGGCATTCACAGCAACCTGGGTGAGATTGGAGACTATTATTCTAAGTGAAGTAACGCAGGAATGGAAAACCAAACATCATTATATTCTCACTCATAAGTGGGAGCTAAGCTATGAGGATGCAAAGGCATAAGAATTACACAATGGACTTTGGGGACTAATGGGGAAAAGGGTGGGAAGGGAGTGAGGGATAAAAGACTACAAATAGGGTGCAGTGTATACTGCTGGGGTGATGGGTGCATCAAAATCTCAAAAAAATCACCACTAAAGAACTTACTCATGTAACCAAACACCACCTGTTCCACAATAACCTATGGGGGAAAAAAAGAATATATAAATGTGTCTGGAAGGATATATACCACATGAGCAGTCATTATCTCTGAGAACAAAGGGGCAGGGAACCCTATTTGAGTGAGTAACTAAAGCTAGCCCTACTTACAATTTTAAGATTTTGTTACAAAGAGAAAATATACAGTTGATCCTCAAACTATACATGAGTCAGGAGCACCAACCCTCTAAGCAGTTGAAAATCCATGTATAACATTTGACTCCCCAGAAACTTAACTACTGATAGCCTATTGTTCACTGGAAGCCTTACTGATGCTAACACAGTCAATTAACACATATTTTGCATATGTTTTATATACTGTATTCTTGCAATAACATAAGCTAGAGAAAATAAACAGTATTAAAAATCTTAAGAAAGAGAATATGTATGTATTATTCATTAAATAGAAGTGGATCATTTTAAAGGTCTTTATTCTTGTCTTCATGTTGAGTAGGCTAAGAGGGAATAGGAAGAGGAAGATGTGGTCTTTCTGTCTTAGGGGTGGCAGAGGTAGAAGAGGTGGAGTAGATAGAAGAGGGGGCAGGAGAGACAGGCACACTGGGTGTAATTTTTGTTTTAAAAAATCCATGTAAAACCAGACCTCCAGAGTTCAAACCCATGTTGTTCAAAGGGCAACTGTACATGCATTATATTTGTAATTAAAAACAATCCAAAACCTGACTAAAAATAATGAAAATCAAAAGTAATTCCTTCAAGTATTTCAGCAATTAAAAAAGAAAATAGCTGCAATCAGCCTAGTATAAAAACAAGAACCAAGAAATGTGTAAAACCCAGAAGGTAAAGGATGAGAAACAATTTCAAAATATGCATTTAGAGTTCTAGATTTCTAAAATTCAAAGAAGCTAAGAGAGCCCCACCCTCGTCCTTTATAAATAAGTGAGGCTCCAAGATGTCTCACCCAAGACTACAGAAATGGTGGCAAATACAAAATCACTTTCCACCATGCAGTGCTGAAGACTGGATATGACTGAAGCTACAGTGAATATTGTACAACAACAATTGTAAAGTATTCATGACCTACCAGACTGCGCCTCAAGTTCTTCACAAATGACCATATATTTGATTTCCACCCAAGCTGGGATAAGAAATATTTGGCCCTCCTCATTTCATAGAGCAGGAAATCAAAACTCTGTGGAAGATGATGAAGCAGTCCTAGCACTGCTACTTCCTTAGGGTGCTGAGATTAAGATATTGCCATGTCTGAATTTACAGCCTCCATTATTACTTTACCACTGTGGCATTCCATCGGGACATTACAAAAATAATGGGAGATCTTTCAATGTCCCAATCCAATCCTGTATGCTGTTTCTGAAGTATAGAATCCATCAATTCAAATGCACATTTAACAGTAAAGAGGCTACTACAAAGAAAGCAATGAGATTCCAGATAAATTTTGTGTAGGGCCCAAGTTAGCTTAAATACAGCAGCTCTCAAACACCTGCAAATTAAGCTCTTATTTATAGTCATCTCATTACCTTTCACACCTCATGCCTTCATGGTGATGCAGTGTTCCATACTGATGACACCACTCCCAGAATGGGTGCGGAACCTCTCTCCTGTTCAGGGCACATTCATCTATAAATGTGGACTAAGGAAAAGAATAAAGTTATTTGGACTTGAAGACAAATTTAACTTGATCATAGCCCCTTTGTGCATCTTACAAGATTTCACATTATTGTTGCTAGATTTTAATGCAGTATTCTAACCAGTTAATATCTGACATTGGATATTCCTCCATGTCACATTTTAAAGGTCAATCATTTTCATTTTCCTGTAAATACATTTCATTCATTTTTGTATTCTCAAAGAGTAAACAGAGAGACAGAAATGGATTTTAAAATTGACCTAAACTTACATTCTAATGAAATCTTTTCTTCTTTGAAGATGACAAAAAGGATTAAAATTTAAATGGAGTAGAAACTGTACTCCTTTTAAATAGGCATTCTATCTCCCTCCTCAACCTGTGACTGCACAAAGAAGAGGTCAGACTTTCTGGGAGTTACTTGATTTTGTTCTTAATCTTCTTCCCAATAAACTAGTAAAATTCCACTCTGGAATAAATTCAGCATCTTAATCACTTGTATTAAAATTTGCAGGAGCAGTTATATCATTTTTCATTCTGGAAGAACTTATGTCCCCAAAGTATGCTATACCCTGGGGATTTCATCGTTAAGAGAAGTAAATTAAGATATTCTTGCTGTCTTCAAATGCTGTTTCAAAATCCACTGGGATCAGCTTATTTGTTTTCTGTGTTTGACTGGTAAACTTTTTCCCCCACTTCTTTCCTAAACAGTTAAATACTTACAGAGTAAAACTTTTGCACAATGATGTAACAACTGCTAAGATTTCCCAACAAGAAGTACTGCAAAATTTTTGCAACTGCTCAGCCAAAGTATACTACACTACAGGATTAGCCACAAGTATACCTTAGACCCCCACTTCCCAAATGCCCTGCTTCTAAAAACTCTGAAACCAAAAGAAACGAATGCAGACAGAAACATTTACATAAGGTGTAATGTCGTAATGTTGAGGAAGAAGTCAAATCAAGTATAATTTCAGTCATTTTCAAACTTTGCCTTCAGAAATCTTTATCAATTCATTCATGACTGCTTAATCACCTCACCCTTTTTAGATACCAATGTCTTTGGGAAAATGTTCTCTCAACTTAGGTATTCTCTTTCTTTTATTTATTTATTTTTCACTCACATGATGTATACTGAAACTTAATCATCATCACAACACATGTGCACTGTAAGTCACTACTGGTTCTTCATCCTCATCTCCTCTTCTCTTGCTTCAGTAGAAAAAAAAACACACAAACACACACATGTAAACACATTTTTTTCTTATTTTTAAATAACTTGCACATTAGGTTCTTTTCCAAATACAGTATCCTGCCCTTTCTCTGATTATGACGCATTATTTCACAGCTGTATATAATTTGTTTTTTCTTTCCTTATCCTTGAATGAGAATAGAGGATTAATCAATCCATAGGGTATTCACCTAGTGGAATTTGATAGCAGTAGAGAGAACTCTTACCCATCACATTAAATGCTCACAACCTGAACTTCTAAACCTCTGGATTATACAGCATTGTTTTTTACATTTTATTTTATTTTAATTTCAACTTTTATTTTAGATACAAGGTGTACATGTGCAGGTGTGTTACATGAGAATATCGCCTGATACTGAGGTTTGGGGTATGGATCTGGTCACCCAGGTCATGAACATAATACCCAATAGGTAGTTTTTCAACCCATGCTCCCAGACCTCCCTGACCCATTTATCAGTCCACAGTGTCTATTGTTCCCGTATTGATGTCCATGTGTGCTCAATATTTAGCTCCCGCTTACACAGGAGACCATGTGCTATTTGGCTTTCTATTATTACATTAATTTGCTTAGGATAATGGCCTCCAGCTCCATTCATGTTGCCACAAAGAACATAATTTCATTTTTTATGGTTGTGTAGTACTCCATGGTGTATATGTGCCACATTTTCTCTATCCAACTTACCACTGATGGGTACCTAGATTGATTCCATGTCTTTGTTCTTGTGAATTTTGTTTCAATGAATATATGAATGTGTGTGACTTTTTGGTAGAATGATTTATTTTCCTTTGGGTATATACCCAGTAATGGGATTGCTAAAAGTCACAAGGTAACTCTGTTTTAAGTTCTTTGAGAAATTTTCATACTGCTTTCCATGGTAGCTGAACTTACATTCCCACCAATAGTGTAGCAGTGTTCCCTTTTCTACACAGCCTTGTCATCATCTGTTGTTTTTGACTTCTCTTTTTTTTTTTTTTTTTTTTTTTTTTCACTCTATCTCCCAGGCTGGAATACTGTGGCTTGAACACACAGCTCACTGCAGCTTCAACCTCCCAGGCTCAAGTGATCCTCACGCCTCTGCTTCCCAAGAAACTGAGACTACAGACAGGGACAGGTGCCACCATACCTGGCTAATTTTCGGATGTTTTTTGTAGAGATAAGGTTTCACCATGTTGCTCAGGCTCATCTTGAAACTCCTGAGCTTAAGCGACCCACCCACGTTGGCCTCCCACAGTGCTGGGATTATAGGCATGAGTCATCATGTCAGGCCTAACTTTTTAATAATAATTATTCTAATTGGTGTGAGATGGTATCTCATTGTGGTTTTGATTTGCATTACTCTGATGAAAAATACTGAGCATTTTTTCATATGTTTGTTGGCTGCTTGTAAGTCTTCTTTTGAGAAAGTGTCTGTCATGTCCTTTGTTCACTTTTTAATGGGGCTATTTGTTTTTCACTTGTTGATTTAAGTTCCATATGGATTATGGATATTAGGTTTTTGTCAGATGCATAGTTTGCAAATATCTTCTCCCATCCTGTAAATTGTTGTTTACTACTCTGTCAGTAGTTTCTTTTGCTGTGCAGATGTTCTTTAGTTAAATCAGGTCCTCTGGTACATCGTGAAGGTTCAATTAATGATAATTATTAATGGAATCATTCAACAAATGGAACTGGGTTAACTGATCATCAAAGAAGGCACTTTAAGAATGCTTTGGGCTGGGTGCAGTGACTCACACCTGTAATCCCAGTACTTAGGGAGGCCGAGGTAAGCAGATCACCTGAGGTCAGGAGTTCGAGACCAGCCTGGCCAACATGGTGAAACCCAATGTTTACTAAAAATACAAAAATTAGCCAGGCGTGGTGGTGGGCACCTGTAATCCCAGCTACTCAGGAGGCTGAGACAGGAGAATCACTTGAACCTGGGAGGCGGAGGTTGCAGTGAGCTGAGATCAAGCCACTGCATACCAGCCTGGGTGACAAGAGTGAAATTCCATCTCAAAAACAAAAACAAAAAAAGAATGCTTTGATCTGCAAGTAACATTTAGATAGAATAAATTTACAATTTAATCTAACTCCTAAGGTACGCTAAATAGTAAACTCTTAAGAATCTATTTTAAAATTATTAAAGAAAATTTAACTGAGCATGGAATACTTTCATAAGCAAAGAAATATTGGGCAATATGTCAGATTTCTTGAATTGCAAGCAGCATAAATAGGAAATTCATTGCAAGAATACTGGGTAGCTCACAGGATGAATGGGAAGGTGAGAGAAACAGTATAAACAGAATAAGAGCCAAGACAGCTTTTAGTGTCCCTATGGCAGAGGCTGTACAATCAGGAGACCTAGCTGAAATGAATGAGTCTCAACCATTTTCCTACTGTGTCACTTGGCTTACAATTCAAAGGCCAGGGAGAAATAATTTTAGCTTAGGTATTTGTCTATACCATGCTGTGGGAAGTCAAGGACATCTCAGTCCCTCTAAAACTGTATTCTGTAAGTGAGAGATAATTCTCTAAAGGTAAATCCGGGTACCATTGTAAACATAGAGAACATGGATATCTACAACCAAGAAACAAGTACATATTATAGGGAAAAAATTGCGAAATATAATGCTTTACCAGAAAGTCAAATAGAAATCATATCATTAGAACTGCCATATATAGTGATAAATGGAATCATAAAGAAAAAAATCATAAAGAAAAATGTCACTTTTTTCTCTTTAAAAATTACCATTTTTGATTATCTTTTGCATGCCAAACTCAATGTTAAGTCATACATATCTTTTAAGTGTGTGTTTATGTATACATATTCAATCTGATGCATTTTTCCATTCTGTGGGTAGGTCATTCCTACAGGAAAATTTGGCCAGAGCTGTTTTTGAACCAATGCCTGTCCAACTTTAATGTCCATTAAACAAATAATTTAGTATTGGCCACATATTTACCTTTCAATCAACAAATATACATTGAACTCTTACTATATACCAGATTGTAGAATCTCAAAACAAAGCAGTAAACACAAAATATCACTCAGTCCAGTGTCTTGCCTCTATTAAGTATCACTTCTCAATCTGCAGTATAATTGGTATTCTAGTTCACCTACCTATAAGAAACTTCTTTCTTTCAAACTTCTTGCTGAATGAATCTTTTACCTCCTTGTTTCTCAGGCTGTAGATAAGGGGATTCAACATGGGGATCACTGCTGTGTAGAACAGGGAAACCACTTTATTGATGTTGATAGAGAAACTAGAGCTTGGACATACACAGATAAAGAAGAGTGTCCCATACAGGATGGAGACAGCCATCAGGTGTGAAGAGCAAGTGGAGAAGTCTTTGCGTCTCGCGTCAGCAGAGCGAATTCTCAGGATGGCAATGACAATGTAAATGTAGGAGACCAAGATGATCACACCACTGAGTACTCCCAGGGCACCCACCAAGATAAAAAGTAAACATTTATTAATATGGGTATCTGCATATGCCAGGGAGAGGACAGGGAGAAGGTCACAGAAGAAGTGATTGATGATGTTTGGACCACAGTAGAGTAGGCGAAAGGTGAAAGTCATATGGGTCATGGTGCTTATAAGGCCCACAGCATAAGGCCCACCACCAGCTGCACACAGACCTGTTGGGACATAATGAGTGTATACAACAAAGGCTTATAGATAGCCTATACCGGTCATATGCCATGGCAGCCAGAAGGAAACATTCAGTTACTACAAAATGGCCAAAAAACCATAACTGGGCAACACAACCAAAGAGATTACTTTTTTCTCCACGAAGATATCAGTCAACATCTTGGGACCGATGGCAGAAGAGGAGCAGACATCCACAAAGGACAAGTGGCAGAGAGAAAAGTACATGGGGGTCTGGAGTCGAGAATCCATCCAAATAAGAGTGATCATTCCCAAGTTTCCCGGAACAGTGACAAGATAAACAAAGAGAAATACCAGAAAGAGAGCAATCTTGTGCTGAAAGAGATTTGTTAATCCCACGGAAAAAAATTCAGTAACCAAAGTTTGATTTCTATAGTCCATTTCTCTGATTCAACCTGTTACAAGAAAGAGAAATAATTTTATATGCAATAAATTCATAATTAAGTGCTTCTTAATTTCACATCTGAATTTAACTTTTATTTAAGTTAAGTAGTACGACAGTCTTAAATTCTACTCCTGGTGTCCTACTTACTCTCTGTGAACCATTTCGGTGATACTGAACTATTTACGGAATCTCACTAGGTTCCTCAGTTTCCTTCTGATCAAAAGAGGATTTTCTTACAGAATTAGAACTTTAGACCTAGAAGTAAACTCTGGAGACTACTTAATGTAATCTTCTAACTGTGTCAGGTTACCTTTCTAAAAACATCTGCCTTCTAACCAAGGATATTTTAAGAAACACATCATAGAAAAAGGAATTATGAAAGCAATGAATTCAGGCTGATACCTGTCATCACACCAGATTAAGAGTAAATAGATATTGGCCCAGCACAGTAGCTCATACCTGTAGTCCCAGCACTTTGGGAAGCTGAGATGGGTGGATCCCCTAAGGTCAGGAGGTCAAGACCAGCCTGGCTAACAAGGAGAAACCCCATCTCTACTAAAAATACAAAAAGAATTAGATAATGTAATGCCCTTTCCAATTCACTTCCAATTCTATAGCAACAGTTAATCAAATTGTCTAAAATAATGGAGGGAAGGCTGAAACAAGAGAACCTGTCTTTGGAACAGGACTCAAACAACTCAACAATATCTTCTCTGGGATGCCTTCTCAGATCCTCCTGTATTCCTTCATATCATTGGTGTATATACCCATTAACACATTCACTCTTCATCGAATTTTGTCCGTCAAAGAAGAGACTTGTTCTTCAATATTGAGGAGGTACCATGATCCAATCAGTGTTATCAGTTTCTTGGAAAAGAAAGACAAAGAATTTAAGAAAGAAAGAGGGAACTCCTGGGCATTTATCCCAGAGAAAGGAAAACATGTCCATATAAAAACCTGTACAAGAGTATTCATAACATCTTTATTTATAATAGCCAAAAATTTGAAAAAAAAATCCTACAATAAGTGACTGGTTAAACAAACTGTGGTACAACCATACCATAGAATACTACTCAGTGATAAAGAGGAACAAACTATGATTCAGGCAACAACTTAGATAGATCTCAGGGACATTACACAGAATTGAGGAAAGTCCGTCTCAAAAGGTACAATACTCTATGATTTCACTCATTTAACATTCTCAGGATGGCAAAATTATAGAGATGGAGAGCAAGTTAGTGGTTGCCGGAAATTAGGGATGGTTAAAAAAAGGGTGGTGGTGTGATTATAAAGAGTAGCACAATAGAGATATTTGTGGTGATTAGATAGTTGTGTATTCTGATTCTGGTTGTGGTTAAACAAATCTACACATAACATAAAATGATATGGAATTCTATGCATGCATCATACAATGATACTATAATTGATATCAGTTTCCTGGTTTACATTATTGTACTATAGATACATAATATATAACTTTGGAAAAACTGGAAGAAGAGTACACGGGACCTCTTTGTGCTATCTGTGTACCTCTTGGTAATCTATAATTCTTTTAAAATATAAATTTAGAACAAAATTACAATGAAAGAGAAGGGAGAAGAAGGGGGAATGAGGATGAAGGGGAAAAAGGAAAACTGAGAAAGTCAGGCATACAATTTTTATCTTGAAATATTCATAATGATTCCAACAGAGGAGAAGTAATGAAAGAAGGTCTAACAACATTCTCCTCTGATCTAAAAGTTTCAAAAGGATTTTGGTTACCTGAAAATTCATGTAATGAAAAGCCACTGGCTTTTTATGGTCTCAGAGGCAAAGGAGTTTGAAAAAGAAAAGGCCTGAAGAGATGTAAATTTAAGATTAATAAGGAAAATCTATTACTTTAGTAGTAAAATGTTTCAAGAATTCTACTTTTTCTAAACATAGACACTAGCCCCAGGTTATTTATATTTTCATTACTTATCATGCAAAAGAATGGAAATAGAATTTTAAGCGTCAAAATAAATTTAGGTTATGGAAAAATTTTAGAAAACTGGAACTGGAATATACACATTGATGGCCTCAGATAATTGCCTCTGTAAATGAAGCTAATGAAGCACATACACCATTAATAATTGTTACTTTTTTTAAACTTGGTATTAAACCTGAAATCTTGTGCAAAACAATAGTTGCTGCAGAAAAGGCTATTAAGCTTTATTTTTCCCAGTCTTATACAAGCCAAAGATTGTAATAGAGAAAATTGCAATACTATACATGATTGTGATTTGGGGCCTGAGCAAAATGATAATTCAACTCAGCTGATCCAGAAGTTTCTCTTCTACTTATAATACACATTCTAGGTAAAGTGAAGTAATTACAAGCCAGAAAAGCCAAGGTTTCTTAATTCTAATATTCAATGAACCCATAAACCTTCCAGCAAATTTCACTGTCTCTATGCCAAACACAAAATTCAACTGACTTCAGTTGGGCCATTCAGTACATTTAAGTTGGGCCAATGAAACCAAAAGACACAAATATTCTATTTTTACCAAACCATCCTTCAGGGTGCTCTTAGAGATCACGTTTTTCCAGGCTTCTAAGCTTATTTTTTGCATACATGGCTTCCTGAATATAATTTGGGTGATCATTTAACTCCCCCATCTGAAGAAACCCTAGACTCTGTGTGCCTATGTCAAAGTGAATCACAAAACCCATAGTTTCTAATATTAAAATAAGTTACCCTACAAATGTAGACTTGTCCTCCTTCTCAGATTCTTCAGGTGTCCAAGAAGAGAAATAATATAGTGATACCATCTTGAAAACTGAACCTTCGAATAGCACTGTTAAAAAAGAGTTCATTGACCCAATTCTGCACAGGACACAGGAGAGATTTCTCTAAAGAGTTTTTCAGTAAATTGGCACCAACTACCCCAAGGAATCGGAAGCTCAGGGGATCAGGTCCATAGGGAGGATATTAACGTTATTTTCTAAGAAAATAATCTTAGGAGTTTTAAGTAAAGTGAAATTGCACAAAGTATAACTATATCTCTTTCTCTCTCTCTTTGAGTCTGCCCCAAAGAGAAATTCTAGTTGTCAGCCTGCAACTGCTGCCTGAGGAACACCAGCCCTTGGCACTATGCAGATGTGAGAATTCTAAAAAGAGAGTCCTGCTTCAGAGATTACAGTCAAAAGTGGGGTCTGGGTGCACAGCAGCTCTGGGAATGTTGTGATTCGTGCAGGAGTTCTAGGCAGGTGACATCTCTGTAACCAGAAGGGTTTGCACATAGTCTCATGGGGGTGATGAATCTCAAAAGGAGGCTAAGATATAGGTAAATAAAAGGAAAGTGGACTGAAGGTTTCTATGCAGCAATGAACAGCTATAAATTTGGACAGCATCTCTGCGAGACAAAGAGAGTCCACATACACTGTATAAAAAATTTCAAATGTTAAGTCTGAAAACATATATTTGGCCTTAAACTTCATATAGATTTTAACATTAGGCATAGGAGTTTGAATTTTTTTTCTGTAAATAATGAGGAGTCTATCAAGGTATTTCAGAAAACAGATGAAATTTATTTACACAATAGATGCCACAGGACATTAATCTTATTGTTGTTTACTGATGTGTCACATTCTTCTAAGTGGTTTGAAAGAACTAACTCAATCAAATGGCAAAGGAACCCAAAAAAGAGGATGAATAGGATATGAACAGACACTTCTCAAAAGAAGACATTTATGCAGCCAAAAAACACATGAAAAAATGCTCATCATCACTGGCCATCAGAGAAATGCAAATCAAAACCACAATGAGATACCGTCTCACACCAGTTAGAATGGCAATCATTAAAAAGTCGGGAAACAACAGGTGCTGGAGAGGATGTGGAGAAATAGGAACACTTTTACACTGTTGGTGGGACTGTAAACTAGTTCAACCATTGTGGAAGTCGGTGTGGCCATTCCTCAGGGATCTAGAACTAGAAATACCATTTGACCCAGCCATCCCATTACTGGGTATATACCCAAAGGAATATAAATCATGCTGCTATAAAGACACATGCACACGTATGTTTATTGCAGCACTATTCACAACAGCAAAGACTTGGAACCAACCCAAATGTCCAACAATGATAGACTGGATTAAGAAAATGTGGCACATATACACCATGGAATACTATGCAGCCATAAAAAATGATGAGTTCATGTCCTTTGTAGGAACATGGATGAAGCTGGAAACCATCATTCTCAGCAAACTATCGCCAGGACAAAAAAAACCAAACACCACATGTTCTCACTCATAGGTGGGAATTGAACAATGAGAACACATGGACACAGGAAGGGGAACATCACACACTGGGGCCTGTTGTGGGATGGGGGAAGTGGTGAGGGATAGCATTAGGAGATATACCTAACGCTAAATGACGAGTTAATGGGTGCAGCACACCAACATGGCACATGTATACATATGTAACAAACCTGCACGTTTGCACATGTACCCTAAAACTTAAAGTATAATAAGAAGAAGAAGAAAAGAAAAGCCTAGGATGTCCTATCTTTCCCCCACTCACCCAGTCCACTTTGCCCTCTTGAAACCAGCAAACCAAGATCCTTCCTCAGAATCTTTGCTCTCTTTTTTCCTTCTTCTCAAAACAATTCTCTCCAAATAGCTGCACAATTTGTTTCATTTTATCCGAGTTTCTGCTACAATATCCTCTCATCAGAAAGGCTTTCTCCAATCATCCTTCGGAAAAGAGTACAGCTGACCCCAACTCAGCCTCGTTCACTTCATTTCTCTTTGCCCAGTTTTATTTTTATTGAAAGTAATTGGTATTAACTAACATTGACTTGTTATTGCATTCACCTACCCCATAAGAATGAGCAGGGATTTTGTAGGATTGTCCACAATATATTCCCAAGCTTCCAAAGAGTTCATTAAAAAATAAGTGCTCGATGAATATTTTCAGACAAATGAGTAAGTGAATAAATGGACAAATACTTCTAAGAGTATGGCTGTAAAAAGGGGAGTTAGGAAATTAATCTAATTTCTTTTAGGGGTTGGATCATGAGAAACCTTATCTTGCACCACATATAAATATCAACCCAAAATGGATTCAAAATTTAAAACCTCAAACTGTGAGATTAATAGAAAAAAAGATAAAGGGTAAAAGCTCCATCACATTAGTCCGGGCATTATTTTTTTGTGTGTTTGTTTATTAGCCCAAAAGCACAGGCAACAGAAGCTAAACTAGACAAATTAAGTTGCAAACTACAAAGCTTCTGAACACGAAAAGAAAAAGTTATCAGTGAAAAAAAACACCCATGGATTGAGAGAAAAGATGTGAAAACTATATATCTGATCAGGTGCTTCATTTCTTCCTTATCCAAAATGTGTAAGGAACTCACATAACTCAACAGCAAAAAAAAAAAAAAAAAAAAAAAAAAAATGGCCAAAAAGGCTTGATAGACACTTCTCAAAACAAGACATACAGATGGCCAACAAGTATATAAAAAATATTCAACATCATTAACAATCATGAAAATGTAATAAAATATCAACTAGCATCTGTTAGAATGAGTATTATCAAAATACAAAAATGACCAATATTGGTAATAATGTGGAGAAAAGATAATCCTTGTAAACTGTTGGTAGAAATGTAAATTAGGGCAGTCATAATTAAAAACAGTGTGGAGATTCCTCAAAAAACTAAAAACAGAATTATCATACATTCCAACAATGTTGCTTCTGGGCGTATGTCCAAAAAAATCTAAATCAATATGTTGAAGAGATATCTGCACTTCCATTTTTATTGCAGCATTATTCACCATAGCCAAGATGTGAGAGCAACTTAAGTATTGATCAATGGATGACTAGAGGAAGAAAAGTTTATGTATTTAGTAGTATATTCAGTCATAAAAAATAAGGAAATTTGGTGACAACATTGATATACCTAGAAACATTATGCTAAATAAAATAAGCCAGGCACAGAAAGTTAAATACCACATGATCTCACTTACACGTGGATTCTAAAAAAAAGTCAGACTCATAGAAGTAGAGAGTAGAATGATGGCTACCGGGATCTGGAAGTAGGGGTGGGGATAAAAAGGAGATTTTGGTCAAAAGATACAATTATTCAGACTATATTAGAGTGAATATCTTTACATAGAGGACAAGAACTAAAAGATTATGAATATTATAGAATGGAAAAATAAATATCACAAGCAATGATGATATGACAATGACAACAACCAAAAGCTATCAAAAGTGAAAAACAGAATAAGAAAGAATTTGGCAGATGGAATACATCCACCCATCTTCTCATCTCATAGGAAATTTCTATCAGAAAGTATTTAAAGTTGACAGCATTCCATGTATATTTTGAAAAGGAAAAAAATTAACCACTAGAACCAACAAGAATAATACAACCTAAAAAATTCTAGAATGACAACAAAAAGACACATAAGTATCCTTTTTGAACATTTTTCTTAGCCTGGAATTAACTGATAAAGTTAAAAAATGCATGATTAACCACTTGAAGAGATAAAAACATATTATAAAGTTATCAAGGGAATATATACCTTTACATAACTCCACAAAACATAAAAAAATTTACACTGTGTAGCCATTAAATTTTTTAAAGCATTAAATGATAACCTAAAGTTGATAACTACACTATGGTTATGTAAGAAAATATTCCTTTTCTTAGGAAATACATAAGAAAGTATTTAGGGATAAACAACCATAATAAATATAATACATGTAACCTACATTTAAATGCTTTTGTATGTGTGATAATATACATGTACATGGGAGTAGTGGCAAAGGAAATGGAAAATATTAACAGGAATCTGAGCAAAAAGTATATGCGTGTTCTTTGCATTATTTAAATTTATCTATCTATTCTATATTATTTCTCTAAGGTTAAGAATATTGCCATATAAAAAGTTTTAGGGAAAAGCACTTGAAAGCGAACATCATTTTTAAAAGAAAAGAGAAAACTGAGACAAAACACATTTCTAATGTGGTTGTTGCAAAATTAGTTTTTTATTACAGAGAACCAGAAAGTAAATATTTATCAATAAGGGGCAGGTCAAACAAATAGTCAAGGAGAAACAGCTATGTGTTTTTTTGTCAAATAATAGCCAATAAAATTCTTAAGAAAGCAAAAAGTGGCGCAATGTGTACAGTAAACTCTCATTTGTTTTCTTTTTACTTTCTAACTTTTATTTTAGTTTCAAGGGGTACGGGTGCAGGTTTGTTATCCTGGTAAATTACATGTCATGGATGTTTGGTGTACAGACAATTTTGTCACCCAGATAATCAGCATAATATTTGATACGTAATGTTTTAATCCTTACCCTCCTCCTACCTTCCACCATAAAATAGGCCCCAGTGTCTACTGTTCCCTTCTTTATGTCCATGTGTAGTCAGTGTTTAGATCCCACTTACACATGAGAACATGTGGTATTTGGTTTTCTGTTCCTGAATTAATTTGCTTACGATAATGGCCTCCAGCTCCATCCATGTTGCTGCGAAGAACATATCATTTATTATGGCTGTGTAGTATTTTGTGGTGTGTAATACCAAATTTTTAAAATCCAGTCCACCATTAATGGACATCTAGGTTGATTCGATATCTCTGCTATTGTGAATAGTGCTACAATAAACATATGCACGTGTGTGTCTTTATGGTAGAACAATTCACATTCCTTTGGGTATATAATCAGTAGTGGGATATCTGGGTCGAATGGTAGTTCCATTTTACATTATTTGAGAAAGCTTCAGACTGCTTTTCACAGTGCTGAACTAATTTACATTCCCACCAGCTGTGTGTAAGTGTTCCCTTTTCTCCACAACCTTGTCAGCATTTGTTACTTTCTTTTTAATAACAGCTATTTTGACTGGTGTGAGATGGTATCACATTGTCGTTTTGATTTGCGATTCCCTAATGATTAGTGATATTTAGCACTTTTTCATATGTTTGTTTGTCACATGTATGCCTTCTTTTGAAAAGTGTCTGTTTATGTCCTTTGCCCACTTTTTAAATGGGATTTTTTGTTTGTTTGTTTGGTTGTCAATTTAAGTTTCTTATAGATTCTGGATATTAGACCTTTGTTGGATACATAGTTTGTGAATATTTTCTCCCTTTCTATAGGCTGTCTGTTTACACTGTTGACAGTTTCTTTTGCTTGTGCAGAAACTCTTTGACTTAATTAGGTCTTGCTTGTCAATATTTGTTTTTTTGTTTTTTTGTTTTTTTTTTTTTTTGGCCTTTTGGCTAAGATCAAGTGTAGTATCTACTCTTATCAGTTTGTTGTAATTGCTTTTGGAATCTTCATCACGAAGTCTTTGCCCAGGTTGATGTCAAAAATGTTATTTCCTAGGTTTTCTTCTTGGATTTGTATAGTTTGAGGTTTTATATTTAAGTCTTTAATCCATATTTGAGTTGATTTTTTATATTCTGAAATGTAGGGGTCTAGTTTTAATCTTCTGCATATGGCTAGCCAGTTATCCCAGCACCATTTATTGAACAGTCCTTTCCTTATTCCTTATTATTTTTGGCTTTGTTGAGATCAGGTGATTCTAGGTGTGTGGCTTTATTTCTGGTTTCTCTAACCTATTCCATTTGCTTATGTGTCTGTTTTTTGTATCAGTAGCACATTGTTTTAGTTACTATTGCCTTGTTGTATAGTTTGAGTCAGGTAATGTGATGCCTCCAGCTTTGTTCTTTTTACTTAGAATTGCTTTGGCCATTTGAGCTCTTTTTTGGTTCCAAATACATTTTAGAATTTTTTTCTAATTCTGTGAAAAATGTCACTTGTAGCTTGATAGGAATTGCACTGAATCTGTAAATAGCTTTGGGCAGTATGGTGATTTTAACAATATTATTCTTTCTATCCATGAGCATGGAATGCCTTAGCATTCATTTGTGTAGTCTCTGATTACTTTCAGTAGCATTTTGCAATTCTTATTGTAAAGATCTTTCACCTCCCTGGTTAGCTGTATTTCTAGGTATTTTATTTTTTTGTGGCTATTGTGAATGGCACTGCATTCTTAGTTTGGCTGTCAACTTAGATGTCATTGGTGTTTAGAAATGCTACTGATTTTTGCACATTGATTTTGTATCCTGAAAGTGCTGAAGTTGTTTACCAGATCTAGTAGCATACAAAATATGAGCGTACTTAACATCTTGGGAACACCTTGTTATCAACACAATTCAAATTGAGACAGAAAAATTTCCCTTTTGGGTAATCATATCCCTGAATTCCTTCTACTTTTGTATATATTTGTCTCAGCATCACGGGATGAACAGCACCAAAACAAAGCTACCAGAATGGTGGGCACTCATCTTTTAGATACAGATATTACCTGGAGTAAGACTTCATTGGCATAACTGTTTTAGATGTTAACTTTAAGCAGGACTTTTAAGGAAGTATCTATACAAAATAATCAAGGTTCATAATAGTACTTCAAAGAAAATAAATATTGGTTTCTAATAATTATGTGATGAAAACAAGATTCACAATGTATGGTTTCATTTTAAGATGAAATGAACTATAATTAAGATTAATGCTTTCTTTTACAACTTCAAATGAATATTACTCATAAAATTAAAAGATCATACCTCCATAAATATTAAAGCCTATCATAGAATTGGTAGCAATTAATATTAGCTTTTTTCTTAGTCTCTCTATATAGTAAACAAACCAGTTATTTTCTCCCTATTGTGCAAAGCCAAATAGTCAATGTAATTTATTTCAGATTGAGCACTTTTTAGAAAATAACTCAAATATATTCAAAGTTAATACTTTGAAGAATCATAGGAATATAAAAGAAAAATGTTAAATTCTTGCACTTTTTACCATTAGAGAGTTCTAATACAATAAAAATTGCTTTCTTTTTAACCTGTAAGAGAATAATAATGTGCAGAAAAAGTTAAGATGTTTTTGTTATGCAGGCAATAGTTGTGCTTCAGACTGGAATCTTTTTGAATGTATGTCATTTTCCTTTTAAAGAGAAATGAGAAAGAAAAAAGAACACTGTGAAATGAATAAAACGTCCCAGTTGCTTTCAACTGATACATTTTTTATACAGGAACTTCTAAGCAATCACACTGTTGTCATTATAAAGTTTTTTTTGGGTGGTTGGATATTTTTCCTTCACTCGTCTTCATCCTCTAGTAGACCCAGTAAAGTTAACTACAGAGATCTCAGGGGAATGGTACTTATAAATAGAGAGGCATATATCTCCTCTGAAGGCAGTTGTGTCTCAGCAATTTTCTTCTCATGGCCAAATTAGCTAGTCTCCATCCATTGATAAGGATAATACATAATAAAAACAAAAAATGCGAAAAGAATTATTGAAATCTCATTTTTTTCTGCTACACAAAAATGGAGCTATAGCACTCAGTGTAAACCAAACAATCTGAAAATATTCTGTGCAATACCTGTATGTGGTCAGAGTCTCCTTTGGCCTCAATCCCCTCCTCCACTCCTCTTCTTCTTTCCGCTGTCACTTCCCTTTATTTCCATAAGCAAGTATTGGTGAAATAGATCATTCAAGCATGCTATAACTTCAATGGAAGTCCACTCTCTCATTTGTGTAACTCTTCGGAATCTACACATGCACATACACTTATACATGTTTCTATATGCAAAAAAGTTCTCAAAAAATACAACATAAATTCTGTTTGGAATGGATAGGAAGCTTATCTTGTTTACATTTCCTAGTGTACTATTTGAATTTTGTACCATGTACAATCATACTGTATTATAAAAACACACTTTAAAATATAAAAATACTTTAATGTAATAAGTTGTATGAAGTTTTTAATCAAATGAAAGGTATTTATATCAATGGATAGAAATCAGGATATAAAATAGCATGTACAGTATATCCATTCACAGAAAAGACTCACAACTTAGGACCAAAACTTCCATTTTATGAATGTCTTCTCCAAACTTGTAAATTCTCTTTACTGCCACCCTTTTGCAAAAACATAAGTAATAATACTATTCTCCAACCACTGACCAAGAAGAAACTCATTTCTTTAAGCCAAAATATGAATATTGATATTCCCAGCAGTTTATTTGAATCAGATTTGTATATTCTCCTGACCCACACACAGTCATTTAAAATGAAATGTGGTCACTTTCTCACTGGGCAGGGTCAGTGCATGATGCAACTGTTCCTCCCATTACTAGCAGAGAATAAGAAGGTTAAAATCAGCTCCTGACTAAATGACTGTCCCTAGATAAAGTATAGATGAAAACTATTTCCATTTGTTGCAATGATCAGTATAGCAAACTCTGTTTGTGCCTCTCTCTTATCATTTCAGTGCACTTCAGTTCCATCTTCAACTGCTAACACCAAAGGTTTTTGTGTGTGGATTTGTGTGTGTGTGTGAGGATTTATCTTTCCGCCGCTTTTCTACCTGCCTAACAAGCTGGAAGTGGCAGAAAATGAACACTTTCCAGGAGCAACTGTCAACCAAAGACTGGCTTATGTAAACATTTCTTGACTCAGGCTCTCTCAGGTGGGAATACTCTGATTCTTGTGTTTTATGCACTGGCACCCAGAGATCTCCAGCACTGGCAGTGCTCAGTTGACCACTGCAGTGATCTTCTCATTAACACTTTAAATAGTTCAATAAATAGCTGTATACTACATAGAATCCAAAAGGTAACCACTAGAAGAGATAAGAACTGATTACCATGTTTCTAAATTATCAAATGGAATATACACCTTTATACCATCACTCCCAAAATAAATATAGGAAACTCTTCCAGAGAGTATTAATTTCTTTCCATTCATTATCTCACTTCTAACTTCCCTGTCAATGTTTTAGTTGCTTCCCAAATAAACTATTATCAACCAATGCTTGCACTTGAATCTTTTCCTCAAGGTTTGTTTCCTGGAAAACTCAAACTAAGATGCCTCGTACCAGAGTGACCCTTAAGGTGCAGATTATTGGGATGTAATTCTGGAATCAAATTACTCACTGGAAAGATGGCAACAATACCCATTGCTGATGGAACAGAATGGTAATAACCATGGGCATGCCTTAGCATCTCAGTTACCAAGACTCACCTGCAGTGAATTGGGATAGGGTACAAGTGAGAGATGTATGTTGACTTATGCAACATGAGAAATATGGGGAGCAACAATAATTATTAAACTATGAAATTAATTTACATTAAATGTCTTTAATATGCTCAATGATGAAAACAGACTCAAATAGGACAATTTTCAACTCAGGCATGGTGTCAAAGTCAGAAAGGCAATGTTCAAAAAACATTCATCTTCAATTAGAGACCAGACTGCATGAAAACTCTACCCAGACTGCATGAGAACTCAATCAGATTTGTATATTACAGATGTTACACATCTTGTACCAGGTTGCAAGAAGTAATAATAAAAAAGCTAAATTCAAAGCCTCTTTAGAGCCACAGAACTCTGACAGGGGAAAAGCTGAACACTGAGAATTGGGATTAAGACATCGGTGTGTATGTGCTTGAGATTTTCCAGTACCCTTGAAACCTTGAACCTGCAGAAGTAGTCCTGTTCCCTTTGCCAGAAGGCAGCAGCCTTCCTTTGCTTAGAGAGAATAAAGAGGCCTCACATGAGTCAGAGCATTCACAAGAGAGTAATTTCTTTTCTCAGGATGTAGTCTTTCTTCCCCTCATGGCTCTTAGACTTAGCAACCAGGGTCAAGGCTTAGAATGATGAGGTGTGATGACTAAGGAGAATTGGCTCTACTTTAAGAGGAAAATGATTACCCACCAGGAGTTCAAAGAATTGGCTAAAATGTGCCACAAGAACAAGGAGAACATATAAAAGCATATATTAATATCTTGAGGGTAATTCTAGGACTGGGGAAATAAAAAGCTGAGTAGGGGAGAATTTTCTGACATAGGAGAACCTCAGTGACTCAGAAATTAGCTTGCAGGCAGGACACCAGAAGCTGATTCTAATGCACTGTTAGGATGGCTCTTTGAATTTTGGAAAAAATAACAGCATGCAGTAAAAGAGGTAGGGATGCCATTATTGCCATGCAGAGTGTTGAAGAAAAGGCCCAAATGCTCAAAGAGGTAGAGATGCTTAAAAAGGATTTATTACACAAGACCAAAGAAGCTACAGATGCATGTATACCTGAGAAGACCCAAAGGACACTTTTTCCACTAAAGCAATAAAGATAAGCACTAGAGAGCCACCAGCTTGGTGAAAAGCTCAGTCGTTTGAGATGCTGCTATGGATCTAGGCTTCCTGGAGTCACTGGAGATGATAGGATTCCAGAACACTTGAATTGGAAATTAATGCCACCACTAAAGACATAAAAAATGTAGCAGCAGTTGTCTCTTTTCCCTCTCTATTTAATTCATCAGCCTGGACCCTGAAGACCCATATGTTTTCTAGAGAATGAATATAGACTGCCTCGAGTTCAGCCAAGTAGTAGCCCCAATAGCAGTGTTATACTAAACACAGAATCATTTAAAAGGTCTCCAGTATATGATACAGTCAGTGATTTGGGGAATGAATTATTTTCTGTTGCGGTTAGAAAAGAGGATCAGAAATGACTTACATTCATGTGAGATGAACGATACTGTATTCACTTTCAATTATGTCTCAAGACTATGTTAGTTTTCCTGCCCAAGGAAATATAGAATGAAGATATTGTCCACCTAAGCATTTCTCAAAACATCATACTGATTTATTACATTGATAACATCATAATGACAGAGCAAGTTACACAAGTTGTTACTAGAATATTGGAGATCTTGGTAAAGCACATGTGCTACAGGGGGTATGAGATAAACCATATTAAGATTTGGGAATTTGGACACTTAGGGAAAGCTTTTGCAGGTTCAGTGCTTAGGGGAATACTAGAATAACTCCTTTGAAGTGAAGATCACAGAGGCAGTGTCTTGGTAGGACCCTGGGTTTTGGAAGCAACACATTCCATAGCTAAGAATATTGTTCCAGCCGCTATACCAAGTGACACAAAGGCTGCTAGTGTTAACTGGAATCTGCTGCAGGAAAGGGCTCTGCAGCAGATCCCAGTTGCAGTCCAAGCAGCCCTGCCACTTGAGCCACGTGATGTACAACAGATGTTATGATGTTGAAGGTTGCAGTAGTGGGAAAAGAAGCAGTGTGGAGCTTATTACAAGACTCAGTGGGAATCTGCCGTTTGACATTTGAATGCATTCTTAAGTAAATGTGTTTATATTATACATCATTCTAATGGACATGTCTCACTTTATGTTTTTTTTGCTAATGACTTATTACTTGCCATTTATTTTATATTTATTTTAGACTGTGGAAATGATGTTAGACAAAAAGCAAATTTGAATGATTATCTTATTCGAGTTCAAAATGGGTTGTAAAGCAGCAGAGACAACTCTCAACACCAGCAATGCATTTGGCCCAGGAACTGCTAACAGATGTACAGTGCAGCAGTGGTTCAAGAAGTTTTGCAAAGGAGACAAGAGCCTTGAAGATAAGGAGCATAATGGCCGGCAATCAGAAGTTGGCAATTACCAAATGAGAGCAATCATCAATGCTGATCTTACAACTACACAAGAAGTTGCCAAAAAGCTTGATGTCAACCATTCTACAGTCATTGAGCATTTGAAGCAGATTGGAAAGGTAAACAAGCTCAATACATGGGTGCCTCATGAGCTGAGCAAAAATTTTTTAAAAATGTCTTTTTGAAGTGTTGTCTTCTCTTGCTCTACACAATAACAAACCATTTCTCAATCGGATTGTGAGGTGCAACAAAAAGTGGATTTTATATGTCAATCGGCAATGACCAGCTCAGTGGTTGGACTGAGAAGAAGCTCTAAAGTGCTTCCCAAAACCAAACTTGCACCAAAAAAAGGTCATGGTTGACAGAGCAGGAGCACCATTATCTCAGACAAACACTGCTACTTTAAGTTCCAGCTCCCTTTCTAGCTTCACAGATTCCAAGGAATCACTTTCTCTTCTAACTACAAGCAGCCAGAAAAGAGCAGACAGTAAAACACAGATAACACAGCTCAGGTGCAGAGGAGGGTGGGGAGGAAGTCTCTTGGGTAACTGCCAAACTTCACGCTCATACAATGGGGCCCCAGTAATAAGCACATTCCTTTCCTTTCAGGTCCACTAAGATAGGGAAGCTAAAGGCAGACTCGGGCGAGGTGCTTGCAGCTGCAGAAAGGTGTATGGGAACTGACACACAACTTTCCCTCCCAGATAAGCACAACAAAGAGACACAGAAGCAGTCCAAGCCTCTAATAAACTCTCCCACACTGAATCCTTAAAAACTCTTAGTCTGTAAGAGAGTGCAGCTTTTGACCTAACTCAGCCTGAAGTCCCTCCCATGTTTGTTTTCCGAAATAAACCATTAACTGTCAAGCCACCCTTTGTGTTTCTCTCCTCTTTATTTAATTCTTACAATGGTTGCTGTTATGTGGTCTGCCACCAGTCAGATCCACTACAGCTTTCTGAATCCTGGTGAAACCACTACATGCTGAGAAATATGCTCAGCAAATCAATGAGATGCAGTGAAAACTGCAATGCCTGCAGCTGGCACTGGTCAACAAAAAGGACCCAATTCTTCTCCACAACAATGCCAAACACATGTTGTACAACCAATGCTTCAAAACTTGAATGAATTGGGCTACAAAGTTTTGCCTCATCCCCTATATTCACCTGAGCTCTCACCAATCAACTACCACTTCTTCGAACATCTTGACAACTTTTCGCAGGAAAAACACTTCCACAACAAGCAGGTTGCAGAAAATGCTTTCCAAGAGTTTATTGAATCTCAAAGCAGATTTTTTTTTTTCCGAGATGAAGTCTTGCTCTGTTGCCCAGGCTGGAATGCAGCGGTGTGATCTCAGATCACTGCAACCTCCACCTCCCAGGTTCAAGTGATTCTCCTGCCTCAGCCTCCCAAGTAGCTGGGACTACAGGCACGTCCCACCACACCTGGCTAATTTTTTGTATTTCTAATAGACACAGGATTTCACCATGATATCCAGGATGGTCTCAATCTCCTGACCTCGTGATCTGCTTGCCTCGGACTCACAAAGTGCTGGGATTACAGGTGTGAGCCACCATGCCCAGCCAAAGCACAGATTTTTATGCTACAGGAATAAACAAACTTATTTCTCGTTGGCAAAAATATGTTAATTGCAATGTTTCCTATTTTGATTAATGAGGTTGTGTTTGGGCCTAGTTATAATAATTCAAAATTCACAGTTCAAAACCACAATTACTTTTGCACCATCCTAAATATATATTTTTAGCAATTTGCATTCTCATTTTTATGAATTGCCTATTCATGAGTTGGCCCATTTATCTTTGTTTTTCTCTTTGATGGACTGTGAATTTGGGCATGTTCTTTGGATATTAGGGATATTGATTGCTTAGCACAGGTACACAACTATTTTCTCTCATTTTATTATTTGTCTTTTAACATTGTATGTAGTGCTTTGATCTTTTCTTTATAACTTTTCATTTTTATATCTGGGTTCAAAAGTATTCACACACTCAAGATTTTTCAAATGTTCACTTACATTTTCTTCTTGTATATTTTTATATTTATATTCTCAGTCCATCTTTATATTTATTTTGAGATTCTCATTATGTCACAGAAAATAAGACTGAGGCAGAAAAATATTTTAAAGCTTATCCATTTTTAAATAATCTATGACCTGTCAGAATCAGTACTCACGTGCAGCTTCTGGTTCTCAGTCCAGTTTTGTTTTTATTACATATTTTGCACCAACATCTATGCTACAACACAAATAGAATTCTCTTTTACCTACCTATAATAAATTTTTTCCTCTCAATTTTTCTTCTGAATGCATCTTTCACCTCCTTATTCCTCAAGCTGTAAATAAGGGGGTTAACCATGGGGATTACCACAGTATAAAATAGAGAAATCACTTTATAGATACCCAGGGAGGAACTTGAACTTGGCCGAACATAAATCAAGAAAAGAGTCCCATACAGGATGGAGACAGCCGCAAGGTGAGAAAAACAGGTGAAGAAAGCTTTTTGCTTCCCATCAGCAGTCTGGATCTTCAAGATGGTCATCAGGATGCAAATATAGGAGACCATGATGATCAGACCACTGAGTACTCCTATAGCTCCAGCCAAGACAAACAGCACAAATTTATTCACCCAGGTGTCTGCACATGCTAGGGAAAGCAGTGGAAAAATATCACAGAAAAAGTGATTGATAATATTTGAACCACAAAAGGGTAAGCAAAAAGTGAAAATTGTATGAGTCATGGTGCTTATAAGAGCCATGGCATAAGGCCCTACCACCAGCTGCATACAGACCTGCTGAGACATAATGAGCGTATACAACAAGGGCTTGCAGATGGCCACATACCGGTCATATGCCATGGCAGCCAGAGAAAACACTCAGCTGCCTCAAAGAGACCAAAGAACCACATCTGTGCAGCACAACCCAGAAAAGTGATGTCTTTTTTCTCTGCAAAGATATTACACAGCATCTTAGGCACAACAGAAGAAGAGGAACAAATATCTACAAAGGACAAGTGCCTAAGAAAAAAGTACATAGGAGTGTGGAGTCTGGGATCAATCCATATGAGAGTGATCATCCCCAAGTTACCTCCCAGGGTGATAAGATAAACAAAGAGAAACATGAAGAAGAGAACAATCTTCTGATAGGGATGATCTGTGAGGCCCAATAAGAGAAATTCAGTCACTACTGTCTGGTTCTTATCTTCCATTGGTTCCATTGGTTCATTGTAATCTGTCATAAGAAAGAGGAATTATTTTTATTACAAAGGAAATCAATGATTAATAGCTACAAATAGTATTTGAAGCTAATGATAGATTATTTTAAACAGGGTTATAAGAGACAATTGTGAAATAGTGTTGGTCTGGGAGATACTCCTAGATACTAGATGTGAGCAGTTGTGCAAAGATCCTGTGTAAATGTGAACAATTTACTCTTTACCTCTTTGGATCCTATACACTCTCCCACCAAGAGCCATCCAATTGTGGCTCACATCTGTAGTCCCAGCTACTCAGGAGGCTGAGGAAGGAGGATCACTTGAGCCCATGTGTTCAAGGTTGCTGTGAGCTGTGATTCCACCACTGCACTCCAGCTTGTGTAACAGAGTGAGATCCTGTCTCTAAAAAATAGAAAATAGTCATCCAATTATATGACCTAAAATGCCCTCAGATTATAAAATTATATTTGAAATGAGAATTATTTTACTCTCCATATTCCATGTCACCATATAATGAGATAATAAACCCACTTAGGAATACCCTAAAGATGTAAAGTGAAGGATATGAACAGACACTTCTCAAAAGAAGACATTTATGCAGCCAAAAAACACATGAAAAAATGCTCATCATCACTGGCCATCAAAGAAATGCAAATCAAAACCACAATGAGATACCATCTCACACCAGTTAGAATGGCAATCATTAAAAAGTCAGGAAACAACAGGTGCTGGAGAGGATGTGGAGAAATAGGAACACTTTTACACTGTTGGTGGAACTGTAATCTAGTTCAACCATTGTGGAAGTCAGTGTGGTGATTCCTCAGGGATCTGGAACTAGAAATACCATTTGACCCAGCCATCCCATTACTGGGTATATACCCAAAGGATTATAAATCATGCTGCTATAAAGACACATGCACACGTATGTTTATTGTGGCACTGTTCACAATAGCAAAGACTTGGAACCAACCCAAATGTCCAACAATGATAGACTGGATTAAGAAAACGTGGCACATATACACCATGGAATACTATGCAGCCATAAAAAATGATGAGTTCATGTCCTTTGTAGGGACATGGATGAAGCTGGAAACCATCATTCTCAGCAAACTATCGCAAGGACAAAAAGCCAAACACCGCATTGTCTCACTCATAGATGGGAACTGAACAATGAGAACACATGGACACAGGAAGGGGAACATCACACACCGGGGACTGTTGTGGGGTGGGGGGAGTGGGGAGGGATAGCATTAGGAGATATACCTAATGCTAAATGACGAGTTAATGGGTGCAGCACACCAACATGGCACATGTATACATATGTAACAAACCTGCACGTTGTGCACATGTACCCTAAAACTTAAAGTATAATAATAATAAAATTTTTAAAAAATACTTAGAAAAAATCTAAAAAAAAAAATAATAAAATCTGCAATCAGAGCATTCACCCTAAAAAAAAAAAAAAAGAAAACAAAACAAAACAAAACCAATGAGAAGTTCAGATCCTAACATTAGATATCAGGGAAAATACAAGCAGGGGAGTTCTTATTCTTTTTAAATGATTAGTAACATCCTAATGTTATTAAGGCATAATTCATAAGTGTATTTATCACTGTTTTCCCTATTCTCCCTTATATAAGGACGTGGAAATGATAATACACTTAACAAAAAGGTTGCTTATTGAAAATTAGTAAAAATAAATTTTAGTTGTTCATGTTTATAAAGACCTGCCCTCAGATCTATGACAGATCTGAGGTCAAAAGAGGCATCAGGAATCAAGAATATAAGATGATAGATTGAGAAGGAAGGGCAGGGGCTAGAAATTTCTCTCAACCTTGTAATTCCAATAAAGGAAGATGATGCCATGGGAGGAATTGAGAGACCTTCCCTGCCTTTGAGATCAGGTGATCTGGCAAATGTTGTACAGAAACTTGTGATGGAAATTACATAGAAAATTAAGATCTGTTGAGCTAAAGTAACACATAATTATTTTACATGCTTTCCTATATTTTATGTAAATATTTTAAGGCACTTATCCTGGAGTCTGTGAGGCAATATCAATTATAGTAATAATATGTGAAATGTCAAATGCTTAATACTTTATACAGGGAAAACCTTCAAGAAAATACTATGTTTGTGACACATTTGTCATGAAATAACAAATAAAACCCCTTAAAATTTCTAGAAGAAGACAATCTTGTAGGATGATTTATGAAAAAAAAGAACCTGGTTTATACAACACCATCACTTCAATTAATATCCTGTGTGGATAAAATACAAACAGCATACCATTCTTGAATTAAATACTAATTAATGTGTGAAACTTAGTATATACTCTCAAACAGTTAATAGTCACTGTATCTATCTGATTTATGATAATTTTATCATTATCATGATTGTTTGTTTCATGCTATTGTGGAATGTATTTTCAGCAGTCACAAGGACAATTTTAGGCTTACATTAAGAGTATTATCCATTGCAGAAGTGTTTCTGTTTATCCATATTCAAATATGTCAAGATTGGTGTGTGGGGATAAGAGGTGTACAGACTGATTATAGTTTTAGTCCAAATACTACTTATTTATTTACTTGATTGTAATTCATTTTGAGTTTTCTGTAAAATAAAGAGGATGTTCTGTATGCTTTTCAATATCTAACATTCCATGGTCTTAGAATTCTTCATGAACATTACAGTGCCTTTCTCTTTTTTCATTTTACAGAATTATTTTATTTTATGTAATTATTTTATTTTTAATTTGCAAATAAAATTGTTTCTATTTCTTAGGTACAACATGATGTTTTGAAATTTGTATTCATTGTAAAATGGCTAAATCAGGCTAATTAACATATGCATTGCCTCACATATTTATCATTTTTTGTTGGGAGAACACTTAAAATCTCTCTTAGCAACTTTTAGGAATATAAAACATTGTTACTAACAATATCTCCATATTATTTTTAAAAAACAGGAAATTCAGTTGTTTCATTTCACCAAGATGTGAACAAAATGCCAATGTTTGCTCTCTTTAGAGAAACTGAGGTGGAAGGTCATGTTCCCAAAGTTCAAACTAATCCTGAGGTTCTTCTACAAAAGTTGCCTCTACCAAAAAGTTTATGTTTTCCAAATGCAGTTTACTCACTTTTTTATGTATCTCCGTTAACTGCTTCAAAGCAAACGATCATTTTCTATTAGTAAGAATGGAAGATGCAGCTCCCTCCATGGTGGTAACCGTTTTCAAGAAGTATTAATTTCCAGGTACCTGAAGAGGAAGACAAATCCCTCATATTGATGAGCCTAGGTTAAAGAGATACTTTTTGACCCACACATTCATTCACATACTGCACAAAATAAGTGACATTTTTAAGGAGTTTTCAGTAATTTAGAATCAGGTCCCCAAAGAACTTAAACCTCAAGAGCTTACACCTGAAGGGACAAAATTAAACTGGTATCAGTTGCATTGGGACAAAGTAGTATCTCCTTATTGTATCTTAAAGAGAGGATTCCCAAGAAAACTCTGTATGTGTGTGTGTATGCACGTGTGTTTGTGTGTGTGTGTGTGTGTGTGTGTGCCCCTTTAGGATTCTCCTTGCCAAAGAGAGACCACTTTTACATCAGTGGAAAATGATGCATTGAGGAGTAAGCACAAGCTGGGATGAGGTAGTTTGCTGGCTGGATTCTCACCCTGCAAATCTCCTCCAACACAGAGCTCTGCTCTGGTTGTATCTGAAATACAAAAGATACAGAGCTCTGCTCTGGTTTTGTATCTGAAATACAAAAGAAGCATGTCCAACATCCAGGGCACACTGCTGCAAGGCGTGAGCTCCCAGGTCTTGGGCAACTCTACCTACCCCTGTTGCTTTGTAAGGTTCAGTCCCCACAGTTGCTTTCAGGGGTTGGAGTTGAACGCCTGTGGCTTTTTCAGATGCAGTGTGCAAACTCCTGGTGGAGCTACCATTCAAGGGTCTAGAGGACTGTGGCTCACTTCTCAGAGCTCCATTAGGCAGTGCCCCATTGGGGACTTTTTGTGGGGCTCCAACCCCACATTTCCTCTTGGCACTGCCCTAGTAGATGTTTCCTGTGAGGGCGCCATCCCTGTTGAAGGCTTCTGCCTGGGCACCCAGGCTTCCTCATAAATCCTCTGAAATCTAGGTGGAGACTACCAACTGTTCTTTACTCTTACATTATGTGCACCATAAAGTTTAACACCACATGGAAGCCACCAAGGCTTATGGCTTGCATTCCCCAAAGTGGCAACCCAAGCTGTACCTGGGTCCCTTTGAGCTCTGGCTAGAGCTGGAGTTGCAGTAGCCAGAATGCAGAGAACAGTGTCCTGAGGCTTTGCAGGGCAGTAGGGCCCTTGACCATTCCCATTAAAACATTCTTTCCTCCTTAGTCTCTGGGCTGTGATGGAAGGGACTATTGCCAAAGTTTCTGAGATGCCTATCCAGCCTTTCCCTGTTATCTTTTATAGTAGCACTTGGCTCCCTTTTAGTTATGCAAATATCTCTAGCAACTGGTTGCTCCACAGCCTGCCTGGATTCCTCTTCCCAAAAGCTTTTTCTTTCTCTGCTACATGACCAGGCTGCAAATTTTCCAAACATTTATGTTCTGCTTCCCTTTTAATTATAAGTTCCATTTTAGTTTTTTGCTCCTGCATCTGAGCATAGGCTGTTAGAAGAAGCCATATCATTTCTTGAACACTTCTAGAAATTGTTTTCATCTGCATCACTCTCAAGTCCAAACTTCTACACAACCCTACAAAGAATGCAGCCAAGCTCTTTGCTAAGGCATAGCATGTGTGATCTTTGCTCCAGTTCCCAATAAGTTCCTCATTTCTATCTGAGACCTCATCAGCCTGGACTTCATTGCCCATATTACTATCAGCATTTTGATCACAACCATTTTATGAGTCTCTAGGAAGTTCCAAACTTTCCTTCAACTTCCTATCTTCCTCTGAGCTCTTCCCACTTCGAAAGTCACTTCCACATTTTCAGATGTTATCACAATGCCCTACTTTTCAGTACCAACTTTCTGTATTAGGTCATTCTTTAATCGCTGCAAAGAAATACTTGAGAATGGATAATTTGCAAGAAAAGACGTTTAAATGGTTCATGGTTTCATGGTTCTGCAGGCCATACATCTGCTTCTGGGGAAGCCTCAGGGAGATTTTATTAATGACGGAAAGTGAAGCAGGAGCAGTCATTTCACATGGAGAAGTCAGGAGCAAGACAGAGAGAGAGAGAGAGTTGGGGGGTAGGGAGGTGCCATACACTTTTAAATGATCAGGTCTCATGAATACTCACTCACTATTATTGAAAAAGAACAAAACCATGAGGTATCTGCCTCCATAATCTAATCACCTCCCACCAGGCCCCATCTCCAAATTAGGGCTTATAATCTAACGTGAGATTTGGGCAGGACAAATGTTCAAACTATATCATGCTTTGAGAGTTAAAGATGGCATAGTCATTTTAAGAAAGACCCAAACAGAACTCCCAAAATTGAAAAACTCACTATAAGAATTTCATAGTACAGTTGGAAGTATTAACAATGGAATAGACCAAGCTGAGGAAAGAATCTCAGAGCTCAAAAACCATTCGTTCAAACTAACATGGTCAGACAAATAAAAGATGAATAAAATAATAACTTAAAAAAAACTCTGATAAATATGGGATTATGTAATGAGACCAAATATAGGACTCACTGGCATTCTTGAGAAATAAGGACAAAGAGTAAGCAACTTGGAAAACATATGGGAAGATACAGGCCTCACAAAATTTCCCAAGTGCTATAGTGGTTGGCATGCAAATTCAAGAAACTCAGAAGAGAGCCACTGCAAGATGCTATAAAAATGACCATCCCCAACACACATAGTCATCGTGTTCTCCAAAGTTAACATGAAAGACAAAAAATCTCAAAGGCAGCTAAAAAAAAAAGAAAAAAAAAGGGGGGTTCAGGTCACTTACAAAAAAAAAAAGCCCCATTAGGCTAACAGCAGACTTTTCAGTAGAAATCTTATAAGCCAGAAGAAATTGGGGGTCTGTTTTTAGCATCCTTAAAGAAAAGAAATTCCAACCAAGAATTTCATATTTCACCAAACTAAGCTTCATAAGCAAAAGAGTAATAAAATTCTTCCAGACAAGCAAACACTAAAGAAATTTGTTACCACTAGACTAGCCTTACAAGAGGTCCTTAGGGGAGTTCTAAATATAGAAACAGGAAAACAATATCTGCTACCACAAAAACACACCCAATGTATTTATAGCAGGTACACAATTGAGTTTACAAAGCAAGCAGCTAACAACACAATGACATGATTAAAATCTCACATATCAATATTAAACTTGAATGTAAATGATTGAAATGCACTGCTTGGCAGAGTGACAAGTTAGAAAAAACAAAACCTAACCATGAACAGTTTTCAAGAGACCCATCTCACACGTAATGACACCAACAGGTTCAAAGTAAAGGGATGGAAAATGATCTCTTATGCAAATAGAAAACAAAAAAGAGCAGAGATTACTCTTCTTAAATCACTTAAAGGAGTCTTTAAATCAACAATAGTGTAAAAGGACTATCAGGGGAACCAGCCCCCAATATTTCAACATAGGTTCTTTTCTATTTTCCCTAAGTGTTGGCCAGCCTGAGAAATAAAGAGAAAGAGTACAAGAGAGAAATTTTACAGCTGGACCTCCAGGGGTGACATCACATATTGGCAGTTTCTGTGATGCCCCTTGAGCTGCGAAACCAGCAAGTTTTTATTAGGGATTTCAAAAGGGGAGGGGAGTACAAACAGGGAGTAAGTCACAAAGATCACATGCTTCAAAGGGCAATTTTTATTGCAGAAGGGCAGAGCAAGATCATAAGGCCAGGGCGAAATTAGAATTTCTGATGAGGTTTCATGTCCCACTGGGCACATATTGTCTTGATAAACATCTTAACAGGAAACAGGGTTTGAGAGCAGACAACCGGTCTGACTAGAATTTACCAGGCTGGAATTTCCCAATCCTCGTATGCCTGAGGGCACTGCAGGAGACCAGGGCATATTTCATCCCTTATCTTCAACCACATAAGACAGACACTCCCAGAGCGGCCATCAATAGACCTACCCCTGGGAATGCATTCCTTTCCCAGGGTTTTTCCTTGCTAGGAAGAAAATTCAGTGATATTTCTCCTATTTGCTTTCTGCAAGAAGAGAAATATGACTCTGTTCTGCCAGGCCCCGCAGGCAGTCAGACCTTATGGTTATCTCCCTTGTTCCCTGAAAATCGCTGTTATCCTGTTCTTTTTTAGGATGCCCATATCCTAAAGATTTCATATCTTTTAAACACACATGTTTTACAAACAATTTGTACAGATAATGCAATCATCACAGGGTCCTGAGGTGACATACATCCTCAGCTTACAAAGATGATGGAATTAAGAGATTAAAGTAAAGACAGGCATAGGAAATTATAAGAGTATTGATTTGGGAAGTGATAAATGTCCATGAAATCTTCACAATTTATGTTCAGAGATTGCAGTAAAGACAGGCGTAAGAAATTATAAAAGTATTAATTTGGGGAACAAACAAATGTCCATGAAATCTTCACAATTTATGTTATTCTGCCACAGCTTCAGCTGGTTCCTCCATTCAGGGTCCCTGACTTCCCACAACAAAGGACAAAGAAAGACATTACATAATGATAAAGGGTTAAATTCAGCAAGAAGACTTAACTATCATAAATATATACACATCCAACATTGGAGCACTCAGATTCATAAAATAAGTACTTGTAGACATTTGAAGAACTTAGCTACAAAATAAAAATGAGATCTTTAACACCTCACTAACAGTGTTAGACAGATGCATGAGGCAGAAACCTAACAAAGAAACCCTGGACTTAAATTACACTCTTGAATCATTGGACCTAATAGAAAACCACACAATACAACACCTAACAACCACAGAATATACATTCTTTTCAACTTCACATGGAACATACTGTAAGATTAACCACATGCTCAGCCCTAAAGCAAGTCTCAATAAATTCCAAAAGATTCAAAATCACATCAGTCATACTCTTGGACCACAGTGCAATAAAAACATAAAATCAATACCAAGAAGATTTCTCAACACCACACGATTTCATGTAAATTAAACAACTTACTCCTCAATGACTTTGGGATAAACAAAAAAATTGATGCAGAAATTAAAAAAAAATTCTTTGAAATTAATGAAAACAGAGACACAACATACCAAAATCTCTGGGATGCAGTTAAAGCAGTGTTAAGAGGAAAGTTTATAGTGCTAAATGCCTACATCAAGAAGTTAGAAAGATATCAAATTAATAATTTACCATCATACCTGTAGGAACTAGAAAAACAAGAAAAATCAAACCCCAAAGATAGCAGAAGAAAACAAATAACTAAAGTCAAAACAGAAATCTACAAAATTGAGATGTAAAAATCCACAGAAAAGATCAATGAAACCAAAAGTTTGCTTTTTGAAAGAATAAAAAACACTAATAAACTACTAGCTAGATTAACAAAGGGAAAAAAAGGAAAATCCAAAAAAGCACAATCAGGAACGACAAAGATGACATTAAAACAAGTCCCACAGAAATACAAAACTCCTCAGAGACTACTATGAGCACCTCTATGTACACAAATTAGAAAATCTAGAGGAAATTAAAGAATTTCTAGAAATACACAAATTCCCAAGCTTAAACCAAGTAGTAATTGAATCCCTGAACAGACCAATAACAAGTTCCAAAATGAATCAAAAATAATTAAAAAAAAAAACTAGCAACAAATAAAAGCCCTGGATGAGATGGATTCACAGCCAATTTCTACCTGACATACAAAGAAGAGCTGATATCAATCCTACTGAAACTACTGCAAAAAACTAAGAAAGAGGGATTCTTCTCTAAGTTATTCTATGAAGCCAACATCACCCAATACCAAAATCTGGCAGAGACACAATAAAGAAAGAGTACTACAGGCTTATATTCATGATGAACATAGGCAAAAAAAGTCCTCAACAAAACATCAGCAAATCAAATCCACCAATGCATTAAAAAGTTAATTCGCCATGACCAAGTAGACTTTATTTCTGTGATGCAAGTTTGGTTAAACATATGCAAATGAATTAGTGTGATTCACCATATAAACAGAATTAAAAATAAACTATATGATCATCTCAATAGATGCAGAAAAACTTTCCATAAAATCAAAACTCTTCATGATAAGAACTCTCAAGAGACTAGGCATCAAAGGAACGTCTCTTAAGAGCCACTTATGATAAACCCATAGTCCACAACACACAGAATGGACAAAAATTGGAAGCATTCCCTTGAGAACTGGAACAGAACAAGGATGCCCACTCTTACCATCCTATGCAACATCATACTATAAGTCCTAGCCAAAGCAATGAGGCAAGAGAAATAAATAAAAGGCATTCAAATAGGAAAAGAGGAAATCAAACTATCTCTTTTCATGGGTGATATGATTGAATCCCTAGAAAACCCTGAAGACTCTGCCAAGAGGCTCCTTAAACTGATAAACCACTTTAGTAAACTTTCAGTATACAAAATCAATGTACAAAAATCAGTAGCATTTCTATACACTAATAATGTTCAAACTAAGAACCGAATCAAGAGCATAATACATTTTAAACAATATATACAAAAAGAATAACATGCTTAGGAATAGATCTAACCAAAAGATGAAAGACGTCTACAAGAAGAAATAAAAACCACTGCACAAAGAAATCAGAGATGACGCAAACAAATGGAAAAAATTCCATGCTCATGGATTGGAAAAATCAATATTATTAAAATTATCATATTGTCCAAAGCAATTTACAGATTCAATGCTATTTCTACTAACTACCAATGACATTTTTCATAGAACTTGAAAAAAAATTAACAGTTCATATGGAATCATAAAACAAACCAAATAGCCAAAGCAGTCCTAAGCAAAAAGAACAAAGCTAGGGGAATGACATTACCTGACTTCATATTATACCCCAAAGCTACAGTAACCAAAATAGCATAGTACTCATACAAAAATAGACACATAGACCAATGGAACAGAATAGAGAAGCTAGCAATAAAGCTGCACAGCTACACCCATCTGATCTTCAACAAAGTAAAAAAAAAAAATAAGCAATAGAGAAAGAACTCTCTGTTTAACAAATGGTGATGGGATAACTGGCTAGCCATTTACAAAAGAATGAAACAGGGCCCCCATCTTTAACGACATACAAAAATTAATATAAGATGGATTAAAGACATCAGTTTAAAACCTCAAACTATTAAAATCTTAGAAGAAAACCTAGAAAGTACTCTTCTTGACATGAACCTTGGCAAAGAACGTTTGACTAAGTCCCCAAAAGCAATTGCAACAAAAACAATAATTGGCAAGTGGGACCTAACTAAACTAAACAGCTTCTGCACAGCAAAAGAAACTATCAACAGAATAAACAGGCAACCTACAGAATGGGAGAAAATATTTATAAACTATGCATCTGACAAAGGCCTAATGTCCAGAATGTATAAGCAACTTTTAAAAATCAGCAAGCAAAAAATAAATCTCATTACAAAGTGGGCAAAGAACATGAACAGACACTTCTCATAAGAAGAAAACCATGCAGCCAACATACATATGAAAAAAGTGCTTATCATCATTAATCATCAAGGAAATGCAAATCAAAACTACATGAGACACCATCTCACACCAGTCAGAATAGCTTTTGTTAAAAAGTCAAAAAAACAAACAAACAAAAAAATGTTGGCCAAGCTGTAGAGAAAAGAAAATGCTTATGTGCTATTGGTGGGAATGTAAATTAGCTCCTGCACAGTGGAGAGCAGTTTGGCGATTTCTCAAAGGACTGCGTTGAGCCAGCTATCCCATTAGTAGGTGTACACCTGAAGGAATACAAATCTTTCTACCAAACAGACACCTCAACCTGTATGTTCATCACAGCACTATTCACAAGTGCAAAAATATGGCATCAACCTAGGTGCCCATCAATGGTGGATTGGATAAAGAAAATATGACATATATGCACCATTAAATATTATCCATCCATAAATAAGAATAAAATTATGTTCTTTGCAGTAAGACGGATGCAGCAGGAGGCCATTTTCCTAAAGAAAATAATAGAAAAACAAA
The DNA here is from genome assembly GCF_000001405.40 of Homo sapiens. NCBI lineage: Eukaryota > Metazoa > Chordata > Mammalia > Primates > Hominidae > Homo > Homo sapiens. Next base: position 56,831,680 of record NC_000011.10, read on the forward strand.
TACTGTTATGTTCTCACTTGTAAGTGCGACCTAAACATTGGGTACACACTGACATGAAGACGGGAAAAATAGACACTGGAAAATACAAGAAGGAGGAGGAAGGGAGGGGGTCAAGGGCTGAAAAATTACCTATTGGGTACTGTCTTCACTTCTTGGTTATGTTAGTCCATTTTTGCACCACTATAAATACCCGAGGCTAGGCAAGTTATAAACAAAAAAAGAGGTTTAATTGTGTCACAGTTCTGCAGGCTGTACAAGAAGCATGGCACCAGCATCTGATTGTAGTGAGGACTCAGGAGCTCACAATCACGGCAGAAGGTAAAGGGAAAGTAGTCAATGTCACATAGCATAAGTAGGAGTAGGAGATGTGGGGGAAGAGTCACACACTTTTAAACAATAGATATTGTGAAAATTCACTCTTTAACTATCATGAGGACAGAACCCAGCCATTCATGATGGATCAACCCTGCAGTATCTTCTGCAAGGCCCCACCTCCAACATGGGGAATCATATTCACCATCAGATTTGGAGGAGACAGACACCCAAATTATATCACTGTCTGACAGGTTCAATCATCTTCCAAACCTCAGGGTCATGCAATACACCTTTTAACAAACCTGCACATGTACCCCCAGGAATCTAAAGTAAAACACGTAATAGACAAAAGAAAAGGAAAGTCAGATACTAGTTACATTTCAGGCACTCCTGAAAGTGTAGTCTACATACTGCTTCCCTTTCTTACAACAGTTAATGTGGCAAACCCTGTGCCTCAACCTTATCATTTCAGTGCACGCTAGCCAATTTTCTTGATGCCAGCTACATTTCTTTATCTGAGGATCATCTTCCCACTACTTTTCCACCACCCAGCAAGCCAGAAGTGTTAAAAAATTTAACACTCCCAAAGAGCAACTTTCAACCAAAAACTTATTCAAAAAATGAGAAAAGGAAGCAAAAGTGAAAAAATAACTAGTGGGACAAAAGGAAACAACAGAAAGACTTTAGATTTATGTGCAATCATATCAATAATCACTCTAAATGAAAATGTTCTATATACCCCCAATTAAAATGTAAAATTTATATTAGTATGAATAAAGCAAGATCAAAAACATACCTCCTAAAAGAAACTTACTTTAAATATTAAGGGACAAATAAGTTAAAGTTAAAAGGCTGGGAAAAGATAAGCCTTGCTAAAACTAACCAAAGGAGAGCTGGCACAGCTGTCTTAACATCGGACTAATTAAATGCTACAACAAAGAAAACAAACAGGGATAATGATGGTAATTCCATATTAATAGAGAAACCAATTTATCAAGAAGACACAACAATCCTAAGCATTTATGCACTTAATAGCGGAGCTTCCAAATATATGAAGCAAATACTGACAGAAATGTAAGGAGAAATAAATAAATCCACAACTAGAGTTGGAGATTTCAACATTGTTCCCTAAAAATTAATAGCACAAGTCAATAAAATATCAGTATTGACATAAAAGACTTAGACAACACTATCAAAACAAACATTATCGTTTATAGAACACTTCAATAATAGCAGAAAACACATTGTTTTTAAATGCAGTTAGAATAGTAGCCAAAATAGATTATATTTTATCTCAATAAAAAGCCTCAATAAATTTAAAAGAATTCAAGCCATGGAAAGTATGTTCTCTAACTCAATGTAACTAAATGAGAAACCAATGATAAATAGAAAGCTCTCTGGAAAATTCCTAAATAGTTTGAAAATAAATAATATAATTCTAAATAATCTATGAGTGAAAAAAGGAACAAAAATAACTAGAGAAATTATTTTTAATGGATAGAAGATGAAAACGCAATGAATCAAAAATGAGCGGAAACCCAGTAAAGTGGCTCATAGAGGGAAGTTTGTAACGCTAACCACCAACATTAGAAAAGGAATATTTCTTAAATGACTCTGAGCCAGAATTCCTCTGATGCCAAAATCATACAAAGACGTTACATGAAAAGAAGATGACAGATACCACACTTTGTTCTCTCCTAAGTGAAACTTCGTTCCAACCAACTGCACTGTTCCTTTCTCTTTGCCTCTGTACATCTTCTTATTCCAACCTGGAATGCCTTTTCTGTTAACTGTGGATAATCACTAACTTCTTGCATGAAATTTTTACCCACCACTATAGCAGACAATCATCCATCCTTCTTCTACAATTCTGCAGCATGTTTTGCCTTGAATAAAGCAAATGATACTTTGAACTGCAGGTTTTCTTTATTCTCTTCTTTTTTTAAACACAGGGTGAACTTTTTAAGTACAAGATGTTTTTTCTATTTTAAAATATTTAATTGGCAAATAAATATTGTATCTATTCAAGATGTATAATGCAATGATTTGATATATGTATACATTGTGTAACAATAACTGCAATCAAATTAATTAACCTATCCATCACACTCATGCTGTAAGTGAGATCCCCAGAACTTAGTCATATTGTAACATAAAGTTTGAAGTTGGACCAACATCTCCCCATTTTTTCTACACCCAGTGCCCAGAAACCACAGTTTTACTTTGCTTCTGTGGGTTGGACTTTATTAAAATTTCACATATAAACAAGATTATGCAGTTTTTGTCTTTCTTTGACTGGCTAAATATACTTATAACAATGTCTTCCAAACATTCATGTTGTCACAAATGACAGAATTTTCTTCCTTTCAAAGTCTGTATGTATTATATTGTGTATACGTGTCACATTTTCTTTCTTCATTCAAACACTGTTGGACACCTAGGTTGATTCCTTATCTTAGCTATTGTGAATAATGCTGCAGTGAACCTGGGAGTGCAGATATCTCTTCAATACACTGATTTCAATTACTTGAGATTTGCACCAGAAGTAGGGTTGCTAGAGCATATGGTAATTCTATTTTTAGTGTTTAGAGAAACCTACACACTGTCTTCCATAATGGCCGTATTAATTAATATTCTCACCAACAGTGTACAGTTGTTCTCTTTGCTCCACATCTTGGCCAACACTTTTTACATTTCATTTTTTTGATAATTGTTATTATAACAGGTGTTGTCTTTTATCTTTTTGATACTAGTCATTCTAACAGTGATAAGATGATATTTGTTTATAGTTTTTAGTTGCATTTCCATGATGATTAGTGATGTTGAACAGTTTTTCAGATATCTGTTAGCCATTTGTACATCTTCTTTCGAAAAATGTTTACTCAGGTTTTTGTCAGTCTTTAATGGGGATATTCGTTTTCTTGCCATTGAGTTGAGTTCCTTATACATTTTGGATATTATTTGCTTATCAAATGTATGATTTGCAAATATTCTCTCTCAGTCTGTGGGTTGTGTCTTCACTCTGTTAATTGTTTGCTTTACTATGCAGAAGTTTTTAGTTTGATGCAATCTCATTTGTCTATTTTTGCTGTTGCTACTTTTGCTATGTTTCTGGGGTCACATCTAAAGACATCCTTGCAAAGACCAATGTCGTGGATGGTTTTCCCTGTGTTTTATTCTATTAGTTTTACAGTTTCAGGTCTTACATTTAAGTTTTAATCAACTTTAAGTTATTTTTGTATATGGTATGAGATAAGGTCCAATTTCTTTATTCTGTGTGTGGATATCCAATTTTCCCAAGAACATTTATTGAAGAAACACTCCTTTCCCCATTGTGTATTCCTGGCATCTTTGTCAAAAATCAATTGATCATAAATGTGTGGATTTATTTCTGGGCTCTCTATTCTGTTTCACTGGTCTATGTGTCTATTTTTATTCCAGTACCATGTTGTTTTGATTACTATATCTTTGTAAGTCATTTTGAAGTCAGGTAGTGTGATGCCTCCACTTTCGTTCTCTCTACTCCAGATTGCTTTGTCTATATGGCATCTTTTGTGATTCCATATGAACTTTAGAACTTTTTTCCATGTATCTGAAAAATGCCATTGAAAATTTGAGGAGCATTGCATTGAATCTGTAGATTGATTTTTGTAGTACAGACATTTCAACAATATTAATTCTTCCAATTTAAAAACATAGGCATCTTTCTATTTACTTGTGTCTTTTTCAATTTATTTCATCAATGTATTTCCATTTTCATTGTAGAGATCTTAAACCTCCTTGGGTAAATTTACTCCTAAGTATTTTTTGATGCTATTTTAAATGGGATTATTTTCTTAGTTTATTTTTCAGATAGTTCATTGTTAGTGCGTAGAAACACTCTTGATTTTTGCATACTGGTTTTGTATCCTCCGAATTTACTGAATTTATTTACTAGTTCAACAGTTTTTGGTGGGGTCTTTAGGATTTTCTTTTTTTTTTTTTTACTTTAAGTTTTAGGGTACATGCACAAAACGTGCAGCTTTGTTACCTATGTATACATGTGCCATGTTGGTGTGCTGCACCCATCAACTCATCATTTAGCATTAGGTATATCTCCTAATGCTATCCCCCACTCCACAACAGGCCCTGGTGTGTGATGTTCCCTTTCCTGTGTCCAAGTGTTCTCATTGTTCAATTCCCACCTATGAGTGAGAATATGCTGTGTTTGATTTTTTGTCCTTGGGATAGTTTGCTGAGAATGATGGTTTCCAGCTTCATCCATGTCCCTACAAAGGACACAAACTCATCATTTTTTATGGCTGCATAGTATTCCATGGTGTTTATGTGCCACATTTTCTTAATCCAGTCTATCATTGTTGGACATTTGGATTGGTTCCAAGTCTTTGCTATTGTGAATAGTGCCGCAATAAACATACGTGTGCATGTGTCTTTGGATAATGTCAACAAACAGAAACAATTTCACTTCTTCCTTTCCTTTATGGATGCCTCATTTCTTTTTCTTCCCTACTTTTTTGGCTAGGACTCTAGTAGTATGTTGAATAGAGAGATGAAAGGGGCATCCTCATCCTGCTCTTGTTCTTAGAGAAAAACTTAATTTTTAACCATTAAGAATGATATTTGTTCTGGGTTTTTCATGTATGGCTTTTATTATTTTGAGGTAAATTTCTTCTATATCTGATTTGTTCAGAGTTCTTGTCATGAAAATATGTTCAATTTTGTCAAATGTCTTTACTGCATCTATTGAGATATTCAAATGGTGTTTTACTTCCACTTTAATATAATATATTACATTTATGGATTTGTATATATTGAACCATTCTTGCACCCCAGGGATAAAGCCTACTTAATCTTGATGATTTTTTAATGTGCTGTGAATTTAGTTTGCTAGTATTTTGTCAAGGGTTTTTGCCTCTATCTTCATAAGAATGTCTGCCTGTAATTTACTTTTCTTGTAGTCCCTTTGTCTGGCTTTGTATTAGGATAGCGCTGGCTTCATAAAATGTTTTACAAGTAAGTATTCCCTCCTTTTCAATTTATTTTCAATCTCTATCAGATACAGTATAGAAGTATATTATGTTCACCTGCAAAGGATAGCGGTATACATTAAGTTTTGCCACAGGGATATTTTAAATTTCCTCTTCTCGTATATAGTACACTTTGAAACAAACTTGATTTCCTGGGCATTCTGCAAGAAATCATCATGCTAGTGAAAGGGAAAGTTGCCTGAACTAAAAATACACTCAAACATCTGAGATGTTGCAAATAGTTCGACTGGTTACTCAAATATCTGGAAAAAATGATTGGAAGATATGAGACAAAGAAACCTGGATAAGAAGTATGTGGATATAACTATGGGTATGTGCACAATGGGTGCAGACTGTTTTGTCTCATATCAATGTCAATGAATATTACCCCCTGTGGAAGTCACCGAACAGGTAGATGGGATGACTTGACCAGTTGATGGCAACCACCCTTTTTCTTCAACCACCTCAGTGCTAACACAGTGGATTCATGAACAACATAACCATGGTGGTAGGGATAGAAGCTACACAGAAATACAGCAGCATAGGCTTCCCTTGCCAAGGTTGATCAAACAGCCTCACTAATGCTGTTGATGTTGCTGTTGCTGAACATTCATCTTGCAATAGAAAGGCCTGATTCTGGGCCATCAATATAATCCCATCCCTTGACTACCCCAACCCCTGAGCCACAGGTGTTAAGTTGATCATATCAGACTCCTTCCACATTGCAAGAAGCAATGTTTAGATCTCACTGGATTAACAAAATTTTTAGATAAGAATTTGCCTTTCCAGTCTGTGATGCTGTATTAGTCCACTTTCACACAGCTATAAAGAACTGCTTAAAACTGGGTAATTTATTGAAGATAGCAGTTTAATCAACTCAGTTCTGCATGGCTGAGGAAGCCTCAGGAAACTTACAATCATGGTGAAAAAGGAAGCAAACAGGCCCTTCTTCACATGGTGGCAGAAGAGAGAAGTGCTGAGTAAAGGGGTAAAAGCCCCTTATGAAACTCAGATCTCATGAGAACTCACTCACTATCACAAGAACATCATGAGAGTAAGAACCCCCAAGATTCAATTACCTCCCACCAGGTTCCTCCCACTACATGTGGGGATTATGGAAACTACAATTCAAGATGAGATTTGGGTGGGGACACAGCCAAACCATATCATTTCACCCCTGACCCTTCCCAAATCTCATGGCCTCACATTTCAAAACACAATCATGCCTTTCCAACAGTCCCCCAAAGTCTTAACTCATTCCAGGCTTAACCCAAAAGTCCAAGTCCGAAGTCTCATCTGAGACAACGCAAGTCTCTTCCATCTATGAGCCTGTAAAATCAAAAGCAAGTTAGTTACTTCCTAGAAACAATGGGTGTACAAGTATCAGGTAAATACACCTGTTCAAAATAGGAGAAATTGTACAAAGCAAATGGGCTACAGGCCCCATGCATGTCTGAATTCCAATAGGCCAGTCATTAAACCTTAAAGTTCCAAAATGATCCTTTGACTCCATGTCTCACATCCAGGTCATGCTGATGCAAGAGGTGGGCTTTCATAATTTAGGCAGCTCTGCCTCTGGGGCTTTACAGGGTATAGCTCCCCTCCTGGCTGCTTTCATGGGCTGGCATTTCATGTCTACAGCTTTTCCAGGCACACAGTGCAAGCTGTCGGTGAATCTACTATTCTGGGATCTGGAGGATGGTAGCCCTCTTCTCACAGCTCCACTAGGTAGTGCACCAGTGAGGATTCTTTGTGGGGGCTCCATCCCCATGTGTCCCTTCCACATTGCCCTAACAGAGCTTCTCCATGAGGGCTCTGTCCTTACAGCAAACATCTATCTGGACATCCAGGCATTTCCTTACATCTTCTGAAATATAGGAAAGTGGTTTCCAAACCTCAATTCTTGACTTCTGTGTGTCTGCAGGCCCAACACCATGTGTAAACCACCAAGGCTTGGGGCTTGCACCCTCTGAAGCAATGGCCTGAGCTGTATATTGGCCCCTTTTAGCCATGGTTGGAGCAGTTGTGATGCAGGGCATCATGTCCCGAGGCTGCATAGAGTAGGGGGTCCCAGGGCCCAACCCATGAAACCATTTTTCCCTCTTAAGTCTCCTGGACAGTGATGGGAGGGGCTGCTGTAAAGGTCTCTGATATAACCTGGAGACATTTTCCCTATTGTCTTGGCGATTAACATTTGGCTCCATGTTACTGATGCAAATTTCTGCAGTGGGCTTAAATTTCTCCGCCCCGCCCCTCCCCATGCCCCCAACCCCCCGCCCAGGAAATGGACTTTTCTTTTCTATTGCATTGTTGAGCCACAAATTTTCCAAACTTTTATACTTTGCTCCATCTTGAACGCTTTGCTGCTTACAAATTTCTTCCACCAAATACCCTAAATCATCTCTCTTAAGTTCAAAGTTCCACAGATCTCTAAGGCAGGGACAAAATGCCACTGGTCTCTTTGCTAAAGCATAGCAAGAGTCACCTTTGCTACAGTTCCCAAGAAGTTCCTCATCGCCTTAGCCTGGACTTCATTGTTCATACCACTATCAGCATTTTGGTTAAAGCCATTCAACAAGTCTCTAGGAAGTTCCAAACTTTCCCACATTTCCCTGTCTTCTGAGCCCTCCAAACTGTTCCAACCTCTGCCTGTTACCAGTTTCAAAGTTGCTTCCACAGTTCGGGTATCCTTATAGCAGCACCCCACTCTACCAGTACCAATTTACTGTATTCATTCATTCTCACACTGCTAATAAAGACATACCCAAGACTGAGTAATTTATAAAAGAAAGATAACACATCCTTATTCACATGGTGGCAGGAGAGAAAAGTGCCAAGCAAAGGGGAAAATGCCCCTTATAAAACCATCAATCTCATGAGAATTCACTATCATGAGAACATCATGAGAGTACCTGCTCCCATGATTCAGTTACCTCCCACTGGGTCCCTCCCATGACATGTGGGGATTATTGGAATTACAATTCAAGATGAGATTTGGGTGGGGACACATTCAAACTATGTCAGATGCTTTGTCTATATTATAATTTGAAAGCTCACAGAGTGTCTAATATATTATCATGGGATTCCATCTAACATTATCTCAGACCAAGGGACATAGTTTATGATGAGAAAAGAGCAATAAGCATATGACCATAATATCAATATGGCTTCCTTCATGCCACATCACCCAGAAGCTACTAGCCAACTGAATGTTGGAATGGCCTTATGAGTAGTGCTAGGGTACACTTTGCAGGTGACACCTAGCATGATTGGTACACTGTTTTCCTGTATGTTCTACATACTTTATTTCCTAAATCTCTCTTCAGAAACACCAAAGATAGGATAAACTTCTTCTCACTGACATTTACAATGGAACTGAGTTTTGTTTGTACATGTGTCTAAGTGTGAATGCATGTGCATATGACTGCTGTCATCTCCCTGAACACTGGAACCCCCACACTATTTTAGCTGAACCCCTTTCATTGTGGACCTCACAAATATACATAATAAATCATATGACACAGGTTTCTATTAGTCATAATTCTTTCTGAGGATTGGATCTTTATTAGAACAAACTGTGTATTCCCCCTCCCTACACTGACTGTCAAAATTTTTTTGTACAAACAGAAAAAAAAACTAATTATATATATAGTTTTTTCAAATACAAGTTTTTAAAAGTTTTGTAGCATATTATTGTCAGCTACATCAGGAAGATAAACAAAGAGTGGGACACACCAGTTAAAGTGGTCAGCTATCAATTAATCTAAGCCTTAGTTTTCTTGTTCTATAAAACAGAAAGGATAATAGTATCTGTTTTATACTATTATAACAATAATTAAAGGAGGGAACTTATGTAAAAACCCTAGTTTGTTGCCAAATAGCAAGTTGTCAATAAGTGTTAGCGATCATTAAAGTTAATTCAATTAGAAAAGAAGTAGAAAAACCAGAGCTGGAAGAAACTTTGCAAAACATGTTTAACATCATGGTCAAATCCTAGCTCTGCCATTTAACAAACAAATTACTTGCTCTCTCTTTGCCACATTTTCCTTAATTGCAAGTGGATATAATTGTTTGGCTTAAGTCCTATAACACATCTGAAGTATTTAAAAAATATATTGTAATCATAAAAAAAATTAGGCTACCATGATCAATATTTTTGGCTTCTTTGCAAATGAGAAAAACACCACCCACAGTAGTTATGAGTAGCCCAAAATCACAGAGCAAGTTACTCTCATTTTTGGAACTAGAACCCATTCCTTCCGATTCCCATCCTAGTGCAAAAATGTCTGGGAGCTTACTAAGATCCCAGGAGCAGAAAACTGGAATGGTAGTCTAGATTCAGCAGCTTTTGAAACCTCGTCAATGACAAGAAAAGACCAAGAGGTGGCAGCACGTCCACATACAAAGAGGTCGGCTATATTGCTTTCCTGTCAGCAAATTCTTTCCTCTTCCTGCCGAAATATAACAGAAAACCTGACACTCAGCCGTTAATATCTTGACCATGCCACAGTATCTCCTTTTCTTGTGTGAGCTTCTAATATCCTAATTATGAACTTTGTTACCAACTCAGAACAGAATGTCTCACAACAGTTTTGCTCCTGAAATCCTTATTGTTAGTTGACTTGCAGAACCAAAAACAACCATGACAAATTTAAAAAGCATCATTGCACCTAGCATTTACCGATTAAATCATTCTAGTGTTTATCAAGTAGCAAATGTTACCATATGTTTTGTAGGTAGTTCACTAGGGAAAGTTAAGATGCCTCATCTCCACCCCGACAGCCTCCTCCCACCCAAAACAAATCTTTGAAATAAAAGGAAATTAAGATTGCTCATTCTGAGGTTAGAACCACAAATGAGTGTAAAATAATTGGGAACAATATACAAAGTCGCTTTTGAAATATCTGTTTTATTACACTGGGTGGCAATAAGACCAAATTCTTTCTTTATCTAAATTAGAGCAGATCCATTAGAAGAGGAGTTTGCTGAATGGAACCACGAAAAAAAAAAAAAATCTCTGAAAACACAGTAAGGAGTAAGCAGAAAATGGAGTAGGGAACTCTGCAGTGTCAATCTTATGGCAGCCTAGCCAGATGCCACTAATATTCCCTTCTCATGTCATGTTCACCAACCAAGCTTCAAATCAGCATATGGCACCCCCCCGCAATAAAGCCTCTCCCCAAGAAGCCAGAATGAATCAGGCCCACGTGAGTGTCCCTGCCCAAGAAAAATACATTTCTAACGAAACCTGGCACTCCACTACTATGTATCATTCTCTTGCGAGCTTTGGGGGGACTTTTAGGTATCATCTTGGATATTCTTTGGCTGAATTCAGTACCCATAAATCCAATTGCCCTTGAGACCAAGATTCTGTACTTGAAAACCTAATTAGATCCTGGACTATATTTCTCCAAAGTAAATTTTTTTCAGATCTCTTGGCAACCACGAAGCTTCCTCGCATGACACCTAAAGTCTATGGGACTTACCTTTCATACATCAACTTATCTGCTTTGGGCGTATTCAGTTTTCTTACAAATACGCTCTTATTTTTGTCCTCTGCCAGGATGGAAATAAAGGTCACTCGCCTACTTCATAGACTTTATGATGGCTACTAATTTGCCATGTAGTCTCTTTCTCAGCCTTATGGGCAATCAGACAATTGGATGATATCAGAAAGAATACCAAGTCAATGGGGTAAGTATATTCCAGGAGGAACCAAATATGCTGTAATATTGTTTTAGGCCAAATACAATGACAACTGAAAATGTCACTCTTTTTTTTTCCCAGTTCAAATGTGACTTGTTAATCTTTCATGTACAATTCCTTCCTTCCATTTGCCAAGACAGTGAAAGGTGACTGATCTCACTGATTTCACACAAAGCACTTCTTTCTAGTTAAGTGTATCTGGTTGAATGATGTATTCATGGTCACATGAAATATTCAACTGACAGAGACACCAGAGATTATGGAATTCAACCTTTTATTTTGCAAATAAGGAAATGAAAATTTCACACAAGCAACCTGACTCATGGTCATGCAGCTATTTGGTGGCAGAGCTTTAGACTGACTATCATGCCATGGTGGCCACCTGTGCCATGCTAAAAATAACCTCAATAAAAATAATAATGAGATTTCACTTAGGGTAGAATTGACCCCAACTTAAACTAGATGAATATTCACTGACATTTCCGGGTTCCAAAGTGGATTTATGGTCAAAAGAATCTATGTGTCTCCATTTGAAGTTTCTCTGAAAGTCCCTGGTGCCCCCACTAAAAACATATGCAAACACTTGAGTTACCTAGAGTCTGTCAACATGTGACATGCCACGATTAAAATAGCATTACTTTAGCTTAAGGTTTTATCCATTGTTACATTTGGAATACAACTACACCTGTGAGATAATGTTGCCAGTCGGTCAACACTTGAATAACTCTTCAAAGTAAAAGAACTTCTTTATCTATAAAGAGCTAGTTGTTAATTCATTGACTTCTTTGATAATGCATTTAAAGAGTTCCTGCTCTTATAAGACAGGGCTAAGAATTAGAAATGAGTAAGACGGGACTTCTGTTTTCACAGATTTCACAGTCTATCAGGTGAGAGAATGATTTAATAGGATGTGATGCGTCATAGCAGTTTTGTAAAAACACAGTCTTGTAGCTGCAGAGGGCTGGAAACTAATTTTATTTAATGAAAATGGGGTAGAAAAGAATTAGGGAAGTCTCTTAGAGCAATCCACAGAAGGCATTGATGGGAGGATATTAGAAAAATTATGAGGGTATTCTATATCTAAGGGGAATGAGGAGAAGACAGTGAGAAAGAGGAGAATCAAAAGCCAGATATCTGGCTTACTTAAAGCCTGACTTTCTCAATTGCCATTTGATCAAGTCCAGCTAGACCTAAGACAATTTAGATGAGTTGAAAAAAATATATAGACCTTTTACTGTATCACATTCCAGAGTGAACACAAAACTAACATGATGCATCAATACACAGGGCTGAACAACTGAAACGACTCATGAGACTCCACAGAGTACAGTCTTAATAAAGTAAAGGATACTCTAAAGTAGGTGGGGGGAAAGCACAGAAAACCTCAGAAAAGTCCAAGACCTTCAGACCCAGCTTCCAGGATCATTTCTCAATTGATTAGGATGCGATTTTAATCTGAATCATGAACTACTAAGATATATACAAGAAAACTTGAGCTCTGGAGAATCACAGTCTTGTCCAAGGAGTGGTCTTTCATATCTGTCTGGTCTCATAACCAAAACTGGGCTGCATGACAAAAGCGAACAGAAGAAACAAAGAGAACATAGTAGAAACTAGGTAAAAAACACCAATCTGGAATTTTTTGTTGTTTTTTTAATGAACAAAGCTAATAAACTACTACAGATCTCTCACTTGGCCTGTCTCAGGTCCTAGCACAGGAATATTTGTCACCAGTTAGTTGAGCTTATTCTGATTTGGCTAAGGTTCCAGCAGTGTCTCCAGGAATCTCTGGAAATAAGTCAGTCCTCCCTCCAGACAACAATGGCTCCAAGCATCCCTGGAAATAAACATAGGATTGCAGTAGACCAGCTAAGATTAATCTTGTATTTATGTATATAACAGCGCTTCCTCAAACCAGAAGAAGACAATTAAGAATTAAACAGTTAAAACAAAGACAGAAACAGTATATTTGGCTCCATTTCCACTCTTCATCCCTACCTTCCCCCGCATTCAAATATTTCCCTTTCAGCCTTTATCGGGACTCAGAATGTGTCTGAAATCTTCTTGAACTCCAGCTTCAATTGAGACTGATTCCTGCTCTTTCTCCTGGAGCCAGAGTTAGTTGTGAGAATCACCAATACCCAACTCATGGCTGACTACTCTTATGTCTGTTGCTGGAGTTAGTGAGTTCTCTCTCCAGCCTCAATAACTGTGCTGCTCCCAGGTGCAAACGGGATGTAACTGTTTCTGTCCCTGCTACAGATGAAACCTTTTGAGAGGTGACAGCATGCTGGCAGCCCTCACAGCCCTCACTCGCTCTCAGCGCCTCCTCAGCCTCGGTGTCTGCTCTGGCCATGCTCTAGGAGCCCTTCAGCCCGCCACTGCGCTGTGGGGGCCCCTCTCTGGGCTGGCCGAGGCCAGAGCCAGCTCCCTCTGCTTAAGGGGAGGTGTGGAGGGGGAGGTGTGGAGGGAGAGGCGCGGGCGGGAACCCAGGCTGCGTGCAGCAATCGTGGGCCAGCACGAGTTCTGGGTGGGCGTGGGCTTGGCGGCCCCGCACTTGGAGAAGCCAGCCATCTCCGCCAGCCCCCGGCAGTGAGGGGCTTAGCACCTGGGCCAGCAGCTGCGGAGGGTGCTCTGGGTCCCCCAGCAATGCCAGCCTGCCAGCACTGTGCTCCAATTCTTGCTGGGCCTCAGCTGCCTCCTTGCAGGGCAGGGCTCGGGACCTGCAGCCCGCCAGGCCAGAGCCTCCCCTGCAGTGGGCTCCTGCCGGGCCGAGCCTCCCCGATGAGCACCGCCCCCTGCTCTAAGGCACCCACTCCCATGACTGCCCAAGGGCTGACTAGTGCTGGCACATGGCGCTGGACTGGCAGGCAGCTCCACCTGCAGCCCCCTGTGGGATCCACTAGGTAAAGCCAGCTGGGCTCCTGAGTCTAGTGGGGACTTGGAGAACCTTTATGTAAGACTAGGGGATTGTGAATGCATCAATCAGCACTCTGTGTCTAGCTCAAGGTTTGTAAATGCACCAATCAATGTTCTGTGTCTGGCTAATCTAGTGGGGACTTGGAGAACCTTTATGTCTAGCTGAGGGATTGTAAATACACCAATCAGCACTCTGTGTGCAGCTCAAGATTTATAAACACACCAATCAGCACCCTGTGTCTAGCTCAAGGTTTGTAAATGCACCAATCAGTGCTCTGTGTCTAGCTAATCTAGTGGGGACTTGGAGAACTTTTGTGTCTAGCTCAGGGATTGTAAATGCACCAATCAGTGCCCTGCCAAAATGGACCAATCAGCTCTCTGTAAAATGGACCAATCAGCAGGATGTGGGTGGGGCCAGATAAGGGAGTAAAAGCAGGCTGCCAGAGCCAGCAGTGGCAACCCACTGCCGCTGGGTCCCCTTCCCCACTGTGGAAGATTTGTTCTTTTGCTCTTTGCAATAAATTTGCTGCTGCTCACTCTTAGGGTCCACGCCACCTTTATGAGCTGTAACACTCACCGGGAAGGTCTGCAGCTTCACTTGTGAAGCCAGCGAGACCACGAACCCACCAGGAGGGACGAACAACTCCCGAAACGCGCCTTTAAGAGCTGTAACACTCACCGCAAAGGTCTGCAGCTTCACTCCTGAAGCCAGTGAGACCACGAACCCACCAGAAGGAAGAAACTCTGGACACACCATCTTTAAGAACTGTAACACTCGCCGCAAGGGTCCGCAGCTTCATACTTGAAGTCAGTGAGACCAAGAACCCACCACTTCCAGACACACTTTTGATCTTTTGCAATGGTTAAGACTGGACACTCTGAGCCTCGCCTGCTCGTGTGGCATTGGCCTCATACCAAGCTTTGGAGCCTACTTGCATAAATTGCTTTCTACCCAGATTGCAGGATTTGCATGGTAAACTCTCCAGCAGTAGAAATGGAAAGGACTTTGAGTCAAGGGAGGAACACAGAGCAGGCAGCACAAAGACACACATATCCAGAGATATCTCGGGGATATTTTGCAAGCCTTCTCCTGAGGGCTGTTGATGGACTTGAATCCATTAAAATTGCTGCTTCTCTAAAAGCTTGACTCACTGTCCTAGAAACAATGTATATCAGGGTGGACTACAACTAGGATTTGGATGACAGTTTAACAATTCAGGTCCTGACTTGAAAAACCACTATAGCACTCCAGCACGTCTTTTTTCCCACCACAAAAACAATAATGCTTGGAAGTTCATAAGCAAGTAAGCTGAGTTTTTGATTCAGCAATATAGTCAGGACTCATTAAATAAGGGTGGGAATTATCCCTATGCCAAGGAGCCAAATGCTACTTGAATGTAAACATGACTTGGGAACACAGAAGGTGAATCTCATGTACAACAGGATGCAGAACTGAGAAGCAAACCTCAAGGAGGGCCTTGCAAGTGTTAATGAGTGAATGCCATCCCCACCACAGCCAGCCTGAGTGCATGTTGGAGACCGCATGCCCCAGGTTTCCTCCCACACAGCACAGAAAGGAATGGTCAGAGTTACGCAGTGATTTACATTCACCCTCTGATCGGGAAGCCCAGAAAACATGGACTAAATCCCAATACAGTGGAGTTAGAGATAAATATCTAGGGCTGCTTTCCTCTTTATTTCATTTCCTGCTCATAGCAAAGAATCTGGTCATGGAGAGGGAAGCCTAATTCTAACAAATCTACTCTTAAACAAAACTATTTCGCAGCCCAGGGTTTTTGCAGGGACGATAATGTTTTCAGCCAGACTCTGCCCAGCAATTCCAGAATCATCAGGGATAAGCTCGCAATTCAATAAAAGGCTACAGAAGCAAACTAGGCATGGATGTCACTCCACAAGAATACACAAAGATTGATCATGGCAAGAGTGTGATGAACAAAAACAGTCCTCATATCTAGATTTACAGCCTTCTCTTCTCAGCTCCCCAGTCCAGGCAAAACATTTAGCCGTGGTCAATTTAATGCTATGCCTCCTTTTTCTGTCTCCAAAAAAGAAAGGTCAGAAGTGGGATGAACAGACCCTTGCAAGAAAATCGGAGTGGAAAATAAACCGCCCTCTCCGGGGAGCTGAAACCAGAAAATGTATGACAACTGAGCAGCTCATCAGATGGAGGGGAGAAATACCAAAAGACAAGAGAGATCAGGGAAGGTATGGGCAGAAATGAGAAGAAAAATTTTTCTAAAGTAGAAAAGTGAGTGGCTCCTGTAAGTTGCGAGTGCTAGAAAATAACAGAGGACAGGTGGAAAATAGGCACTTTGAATTTGCACTTAATAGGCTTTTGGTAAATGTAAAAAACAGTTTCTTCCTTTGAAAATGTTTTTAAAAAGCAAGATATTCACCAAAGACATATGAATGCCCATTAACAGATCAAAATGTGTTGAAACAAAATTGTGATTAAAAAGGCATCGTATTGACTCTACCAAAATGGCGAGTGGCAGCAGGGGACACACAGAGATGCTGCTGTCCCTGCAGTTCTCAATCCCAGTCCCAAGAGGTTCATTACGCTAACGGAACTTCTGTGCTGCGTGACTGCATGGCTAATTTGCAGCCGCTATCCCTCCAGCTAAAAAATGTCTAGACAGGGAGGCTCCTGACACAAATAGAGACATTAATGATTAACATGAAATTCATCTTTACATCAGTAGCAGGATAATGGAAGTTTATAGGAATAAAAGGCCCGTTGTCATTTGGCAGTTTGTGAGGATGAGCACATCATATTTTAAGGTTTAGGGTCTTTAGACACATACTCCCTTAGTATACTAAGGACCTGGAGGCAATCTTGCCAGACTTCCTCTGCAGGCATCTTTAATTTTCTTGTATCATAAATTTTTATCTTACATTCTATACAAGGGGGAATCACTGAGCTGATGAGTGAGCCTAACCATTTGCCCGTAAGTATGAGGCTTTGTTGTTTTATATTCAGTGTGAATATGATAACTCACATAACCTCTCTTATGAACCTCTCTTTTTCTCTTTTTGGGTGGGGGGGGGTGATTTTTTAAATGGCCTTGAAAAGAAAGCCAACTTCTGGTATTGGAGATGGAAGCAAAGAATAATAAAGAGTAAAAGTAATCGTTCTCAGATTGAAAACAAAAGATTTGCTGTAATGTAAAAATGGAAAATCAAATTTAGTAAAAGCTTATATCTACAAGTTGAATAAATTCAAATGCTGCTTACACAGAAATAGGAGAAAAATTTAATAGAACTATTTCAGGAGCATTGCCAACGCTGAAAAAGCTACTTGTCAAGTGAGAGATACAACAGTAGTGAAATCTGAAAAGGTGATTTACTTTTCATGCCAGGATTAGCACAGGAAAACAAATGGTTCTTAGTAGAAATGTACTTCAGGACAAAGTCAGAAACTTGGCAATACACATTCTTAAATTACACATAGTAAAATGTTCTAGTGAGCTTGTCTAATCCAAGTTTACTATTGAGTAGAAGTTTACCACTGAGTTGGTAAGAGAATTTTAAGGGCTGTTTTCCCTGCTTCATATAATCAAACAAAGAACATTGACTGACTTTCCTGATTTATCAGATATTTTTGTTTTTATGTTTTTCCTGAACTGAAAAGCCAAAGTGGCCCATTGCAGAGGAGGTTAGAAACCAAAATAAATGATCAACACAGACAGCATATATCTACAGTAGATGAAAGTGCTTTGGCACACAAATATCCCCAAGACAGATGAGCTTCTGGGTTAAAGCAGGTAAAAAGTGACTCATCTTCTTTAGGACAATGCTGAAGTCTTCATTTTAAGCTGGACTTGTTTCACCATTTAGGAAAACCCCCATGATGCCAAGAGAGAACAATAAGAACTTAGTGAGGGTATATTGACAGTATAAAAAAAGGAAAGAATAATAATGCCAGTATTTTTTCATGTATTAAAACATGTATCCCAGATAAAACATGTGTCCCAGAATTTAAAGTAAAATAAATAAATAAAATTAAATAAAAATGCTTCAACAATGCCACATGAAATAAATTTTAATAGTCTTCTTTATTTTAGTAACTTTATCCATTACTTTAGTCTTATATTTATAGAAATGTTAATGCCCAAAGAACCAACTGAAAAGTAGAGAACAGAAAGTTCTCAGAAAAAGAAATGTAACTGCAGCCCTAAACTTATGAAAAGATACTCATCCCTCTCATACAATGAAAATTAAGACTACACAGAAATAGCATTTCTCACCTATTTGGTAAAAATTCAAAAGCTTAATAATACACCAGCTTCTGGGGAAACTGTAGAGAAACAGGCACTCTCTCACATTGCTATAATGAATGTGCAGTATGTTTCAACTTCTAAGGAATGCAATTGTGTAATATCTATCAAAATTATAAATGCGAAATATCCATTGTTCTTTATCCATTGACAGATGAGTAGATAAAGAAAATGTGGTATATACGTACAACAGAATATTAGTCAGCCTTAAGAAAGAGAGAAATTCTGCCATTTGTGGCAACATGGTTATACATTAAGTAAAATAAGTCAGATACAGAAAAACACTGTATGATTTCACTTATATGTGGAATCTAAAATAGTCAAACTCATAGAAGCAGAGGGTAGAATGGTGGTTGCCAAGAGCTGGGGAGAGGGGAGAATGAGGAGTGATGGTTAAAGGGACAAAGTTTCAGTTATGCAGGAGAATTTAATACCTGAGATCCAACATATAGCATAGTGCCTATAGCAAGCAATACTGTATTGTATACTTTAAAATGCTAAGGGGGTAGATTTTACATTATGTTATTATTTTATCTTACCACAAAATAATAATAATAAAGAGAGCAGAAGGAAACTTTGGGAGGTGATGGATATAATTATGGCCTGGATGATTGCGATGGTTTCATTGATGTGTGCTTTTATTCCAAAACCTATTGAGATGAATACATTAAATATATACAACTTTCCATATGGCAATAATGCCTTGAGAAATGGTTTAAAAAATGCAAATGCATTTACATTTTGACTTGTATCTAGTAGTATCTTACTACTAGGACTTTATCTGATAGATATTCCTGCATATGTTCAAAATGACTTTTGTTAGTTATTCACTGCAGCATTGTTTAAAGGAGAAAAAATTAGAAAGCTCCCAAATGTGCATTCATAAGAGACTGGTAGACGGATTGCAATTAAAAATGAATGAAGAAGCTCTCTGCCTATTGATCTGGAAAGAAACCCAGGATATATTAATAAAAGCAAAGCAAAGGATTATGAGCATACTGTGTTACCTTTATATAAGAAAGAGATGGAGTGGGGACCAACAACTAAATTCATGCCTATATTTACATTAAAGAAACACTGGACAGATACTAAAGGAAGTAATAGAAGTTGTTGCTGGGACAGCCAGGTGAGAAGGACTCCCTGGCAGAGCTTCCAATCAGCCTGCGTACTAGGAGGAATGTACAATGGGATATAGTCACAGAAGTTTGCACCATTTGCAGCCCCTCATCTTCCTGTGTGGAACCTGGGATTCAAGCTGACAGGCAGGAAGCACACTAGCAGTAACTCTGGCCTTGCAGAGATTCTCTGTTCCCCTTTTTTTCCTTTTCCCCCAGTGAAACCCTACCTCACTCACCCTTAAAATCATCTGCAAGCCTAAATTTTCTTGGCCGTGGGACAAGACCCCATCTTTAGCTGAACTAAGGAAAAGTACTACATCATTTTCAATATGAGATTTGGGGGATGGGATAGAGTAGATAGGAATAGAGGTAGGGTAGAAATGAGGTTTATACAAGTCTATAGTATTTACCTGTCTGAATATATATCTTTTAAAGTAAATAAATGAAAGCCTAAAAAAAGGTCAATTAAATTTTTTAGTAAGTTACTAAAAGAGAAATTGCCATTTATGAGAGAAATTATGGGGGGACATGATGCAGAAATTTTTTTGTGGAGGTCCCACTGATATTTAAGTGGACAAGGTCCATGGATGGATCTGAAGGTGTCTATTGAACCTTGAAATTGAATACAAAGTGTTAGCTCTCTTCCCATATGTGCATATCTCCAGGGGAATTATCTATAGTTCTCATCAGATTATCAAAGAACCCCATAATGCAAAACAAGTTACAAAACTAAAAATTTAGGAAAGTCTCTAGACTTACTTTTCCTGAATATCAAGATACTATATGACTTGGTTGTTATAAATATAAGGTCTGGATTCAAGAGACCTGGGATTACCATCAAACTTCACCGCTTACTAGTCGTGTGTCCCTGGGCAATTTATTCAAACTTTCTGGCCTCGCTTTTCTTATCTGCTATAGAAAGAAAATAGTAATATCTACTTAACATGATACTGTAAGGATTAAACTAAATAATGCATGTAAAGTGCTTAGCAAAATGCCAGACATGTAAGCACTCAAAAAATAGAGCCTACTATAATCATTCAACTTAATATCAGTACTGTGCTTACATAGCAAGTTTTGAAAGAGGTCAGATAATGCACTGAGTTTTGGACCTGTTAAATTTGAGATGCCTGGAGATACCTAAGTGGTATCTCCAGCTGAGAGCTGGATTTAAAGGCCTGGGATGCTAAAAAATGCTCAGCCATGTTATTACATTTTTGTTTTGTCTACACTCACCCTCTTGATGATCTCATCTAGTTTCATGCCTTTCAAAACCATCTATGTGCTGATGATTTACAAGTTTATATGTCCAGCTCAGACTTGTCCCTTAAAGTCAGACTCCAAATACCTACTCAACAAATAATTATTGGATGTTTTATAGGCATCTCAAAATTAATATGTGCAAAAACCAACTTCTAATCTTTCCCTTAACCTAACGCACCTAAAGCCTTCCACATCTTAATAGTGATTCCATTTTTCTAGTTAATCCACAAATTTTGAAGACATCCTTGATTTTCCTATTTTTCTTCTACCCCACATCCAATCCATGCTATTGAGTGGTTCTACTACAAAATATATCCATATCTAATTATTTCTCCCACTCTCTCTTGCTGCTACCCAATCCCAAGCTACTAATATCTCTCTCACTAGAATTATTGTGACAGTAACCTAACTGGTTTATCTGCTTCTACTTTTCTCCTAGAATAGTAGAGAGAATCAATTCTCAGCACAGCAAACAAATGATTCTTGAAATCAGACCAGGTCCTTCCTGTGCTCAAGGGCTCAAGGGCTCCCATCTCACCTGGGAAACAACCAAGAGCCTTTTCCATGATCAAGGCCCTACTCCTTTATTTCTTTAGCCTCATTTACAGATTTTCTCCTCACCAGACAGTACCCTCCAGCTCTAGTAATCTCCGTCCTGTGCTTCTAACATATACCAGAAACAGTACTACCTTCTCACTGGAATTCTCTTCTTTCAGATATCCAACCACGTGGCTCGCTTCTTTACCTTCTTCAAGTTTTTGCTCAAATGTCATCTCAGTGAGATATTCTCTGTTCAAACCAATTTAAATTGCACTCCCCACTCTACCTGTATCCTCCTTCCTCCTTTATTTCTTTCTATATTTATCACTAATGTGCTGCATAGTTTATTTAGTTATGTTATTTATTATCTGAAATCCCTTCCGGAATAGAAGCTCCAGAAAGTTGGATAATTTTGTCTGTTGTTTTTTTTTTTTTTCCTTCTCACTCCTCCCTCCAGCCCCATTGTTTTTCCCTCAGTGCCTAGAATAGTGCCTGGCACATGGTAGGTATTCAGTAAATATCCATTTATATTTTTAATTGCTTTAACTAATTTCTTGTAGTGTACTCATTCTTCCTCTGAACTTGGAATAAATTTTGCTGGGATAGGTTAAGAGACTGAGATTCTTAACTCTGAGTCAACCCCAAATGTTCCTTTCCAATCAATATCCACTCACTGTCCAGGAGCCAGAGTACCTCATGGCTTGTCTAACTCAGAGAGGTCACTTCACCTATAAAGAGAACATCTTGCAAAGTTGGATGGTGGGTAGGAGAGAATGGTTATGGTATTTTCTTCAGGAGTCTGAGTCCCTGATCTTTGAAGCCTCCTCAAGATTCCTCTTAGTGATGTTAATCAAATCCTCTTAGCAGAACTCCTGGCCATTCCCCCTAAATTCATTGACTAATCAAAAGAATTTTCATCACTTCTTCTCCCTTCCAACTCTTAACTCAGCATAAGCTAATTTGGACAGAGATATTATAAGGTGGAGTGGTGGATAGAAGGTACTCTCTTAAGCCTAACAGTAGGAAAAATCTGAGGTCTAGTTTGCTTTAAACACCTAGCTATATTGACCTGTCTATGAACTAACGTGGCAGATATCTGAGCCTTTCAAAACTTTCTGCACCTGTTCTTGTAACACAAGCTATCATCACCAGCTGAACCAAAGCGAGAACTTGGAGACAGGGAAGAACACAGTTCTTGTTCTCCTGACTGTGCTTAAAGAAGAGGGCAGGGCATCACCAGCTAAGGAAGCCAGTAAGGTGAGACTCAACTAGGTTGACAATAAAGTTACCATAAGAGCCAGGGAAGCCAGAGGGCTCTCATGTAAATCCAAGAGACTTCTCCTATTCCATTCACCATAAATTCTCCTAAAGTCCCTTCCTCATATCTCTAGAGGCCAATCTAGAGAGGTGTGTGGAGAAGAGGCATCTGAAATACAGGGTTTTTGAGATCAGCAGTGCAATTGCATTTAACAAACTGAACTCAGTGTAGTAGCCCCTGCTACTCAGCATTATATGGGCTCATAATAAAGATGCAATTAATTATAGAAAAAAATTAGAAGTACAGATTATTTGCATATCTAAGTATAATACGCATGAGTTTCCCTCCCTGTTACATTTGTAGTTTGCAGTCTAATACCAACAGCCTGTATTTCTCAGGGGGATCCTGATGGATCTTCTGTCCGGGTCTACTTTAGCCAGGCTAGCTTCTCCATCCCTGAGGGTTGGTGAATTGTCCTGGCTTTAGTTCTTTTACTCATCCAATCATTCATTCATTTTTCTTCCAGTCATTAAAATAAATGGGGGCAATTGAGACAAAGTGAGAAGAGTCCACTTAGAGACAGAAGTGCTGGTGCCAGCCCTCACAACCACCAACTGTTACCTCTTCTGTGACTTTGAGAAATCCCTTATCTGTGAAACAGCAATAATATAACAAGCCTCAAACTACTGGGATTTGTTTTAAATAAGATAATAAATATGAAAGATTCTAGTTTGAGATCAGCCTGGGCAACATGGTAAGGCCTCTGTCTCTATAAAAGAGAGAGAGAGAGAAGAAGAGAAGAGAAGAGGAGACAGAAAGAAAAGGAAAAGGAGGGAAGAGAGGGAGGGAGGGAGGAAGGGAGGAAGGAAGGAAGGAAAGAAAAAGGAAGGAAGGAAAAAAGGAAGAAAGGAAAAAGGAAGGAAAAAAGGAAGGAAAGAGAGGGAGAAGGGAAAGGAGGGAGGGAGGAAAGAAGGAAAGAGAGAGAAAGAAAGATCTGTATTTCAAAGACCTTTGTAAACTTAAGGCATTGTTATTATAAATACTAAAAAATAACCACCAACTCATTGACCACTACATGCCAATGAAGAGTGCAAACTTGAACAAGACACATTCCCAGCCTTGAACATTTTATAATCCAATGGAGTAGTGCCTCAGGCACAACCGATTTTTCTGTCTGGGTTCTCCTCTGGCTTATCAGAAATCAGTTTATTTCAGGCTGGGAAAGTTTAGGCAGGAAAATCATAAGGTTTGGCTTCAATACCTTTTCCTGAAATGAGTCACTTGATCATCTACAATTCCCTGATCCATGAAAGCGGCACCTGCACAGAGCTATTTCCTCATGTGCCAGGTGAACAAGAAATAGAACACAGACAGATACACACACTGCCAGACAAGGTTAGGGATGAAATGAATCTTGCAGAGAGCATATGCCTCTCCAAACTCACACCTTAGAAATTTCTGTTATGCTCCAAAGTACAAAGCAGAATATTTTAAAATTCCCTTGTATGGCGTTTATAATATTGTACATAAATCTCCCCGCTCATTTCCTTCATTATTCCACTCTATATATGTCTGGTGGGAAATTAAAGTAATCAAACAAATAATGAACACTTCAAAATTTGCTACTCAGGGGCCGGGAATCAGCCAGAGAAGCTACTGATATTAGGCAAAATGGATAGAAAATAGTTCACCTCTCCACCTCATTTTGTTGAAAAATACACACACACACACACACACACACACACATACTCATGTATTTACATATAATTTAAGATTATTATAATATACATTTTAAATTAAGCATGAGAACATGTCTCTCAGAGGCCCCATTGTGCTTGGGCATAGAGAAAGGGAGTTCAAAGGAAGTAATATGTGAATTAGGGAGAACTTAACTTACATCACTGTACACATGAAACATGTTATGTTCAGGGGTTTAACTCCCTTATGTCATTCTAAATATTTGTCTAGAAAACCAGAAAAAAAAAGCTGCTAAAAAATATTTGCAAAAATTTAAATGTGTGTGAGTGTGTGTGTGTGCGTGTGCACTTGTGCATCGTTTTTCTCTCCTGCTTCCATTCCTAAGGTGAAATCAAGTACAAAGATATTACCTTTCTTGAAGGGGAAAAAAGAGGAAACAGACAAGGAGTTTCTCTCCCAATACTCTGCAGGAGGAGGAGATAATTGAGCTTCCTCTCTATAATAAGACATGCAAACAATTAGGGGCCATGATCTGATGCCAAGGTAGGAGAAGCTGTGGGGCTGCTTTTATTCTTAGCCCATATTGTAGAGAGGGCATGGTTCTTTGGTTTCACACCAAAGTCAAAATAAGACAATAATGAGTCCGAGAGAACACCAGAGGTCTAATTAAATGTAAAAGTTTGATTCAGGGAGTGAGATGGTGGCCTTCCTTTTAGAAAGTCTTTTAAATTTCTTTAGTTCTTACTCCAAATGCTATCCATCTAAATTAAGTCTTACTTCGAGGTTATAGAAAGAAATAAATATATTCTTACAAGCTAGTAACTTGGATAACTGAAGTGTGGAAATACTGTCCAATACAGTATGACCCCTGCTGTGTACCCAATGATAGAAATAGCTAAAAGTAACTGAGCCTCTTCTACGCAGTCTGCATTGAGTATAACATTTATTCATTCATTAAAAAAATGTCTTGGACATGGAGCATGGTTCTAAAAAAATTTAGAGAGAGAGAGAGAGCGTGAAGTTCAGCTAATGATAAGACGCTATGAAGAAAATGAAGTAGAGAAATAGGCCAGAAACAAATGAGTGGGACAGAGACTATATTACATATTAGAGTGGAGTGTCCAGCGATGAGATGCAGTTCTCCAAAGCCCAGGCATAGCCCATTCCACACAGAAGGCACAGACATGAAAATGTCTGGAATCAAGAAAGAGCTTGATTTGTGTGAATAATTGAAAGTTCTGCGTAGATGCTGTTTTCTCCATTTCATAGATGGGAAAGTTGAGGTTCAAGAACTTTAAATAACTTACTGAAAGTTACTTTAAAAGTATGTGCCACTGCTGAGATTTCTTTTATTTTACTTTTTGGAAAAGTAAATTATTAACGTATTCACCAAAGCACTGTAATGTGTTACTCATTGGAAAGTCTCCTCATTTCTCCTTTGTCCCTGTCCACACCATTCCATCTCTCATCACCCTTCCCTTGCATGAACTAAAAATGGCTTAGCTTTAGCTGCTTGGGTATCATTCAAATGCTTACACAAATACAAGCAAATACAGTATTATACTATATCCTCCCCTTCCTTATATAGTATACTATATATACTGTACTAAATATTCCTTGTTTTATTTAAAAATATATCCTAGACACATTTCCATGACAGTGCCTAGAGTTTCTCATTTTACCACATACTACTTTCCTGTAGAAGTGAACAATAGTTTATATGATCAATCCTCTATTGATGGAAATCTAGCTGGTTTCTAGGTGTTTGCCAGTATAAACAATGAGTAACCTTGTATGTATTCCATTTTGCATTGGAAAGCTCACTGCCTTAGAGGAACTGATAAAATTTGCTTTATTCCCTTCCTTTGTGGTAGTAAACTTTTACTCCTACTAGTACTTCATGAGGTGTTTTCTCAAAAATCCATCAGAAAAGTATTTTATAAACTTTTGGATTTTTGCCCATCTGATTGGTTTGAAATGGTATCTCTGTGTTGGTCTTAATTGTGGCACTTCCTTTTTATTTATTTATTTATTCATCTATTTATTTATATTTTTTGAGACAGACTCCTTGGCTCACCGCAACCTCTGCCTCCCACGCTCAAGTGATCCTTCCGCCTCAGCCTTCAGCAGCTGGAACTACAGCACATGCCACCATGTTCAGCTAATTATTTTTATTTTTGTAGAGTCAGGGTTTCACCATGTTACCCAAGCTGGTCTCAAATTCCTGGGCTCAAACAATCTGCCCACCGTGGCTTCCCAAAGTGCTGATTACAGGTGTGAGCCACTGCGCCCAGCCAGCAGCTCTCTTTATATTAAGAAAATTAACCTTTTGTCTAGGATAGGAGTTGCAATTTTTTCCCTCAATTTGATATTTGCGATTTCATTTTATGTATAGAGTGGGGGGATTTTGTTCTTTTGTTTTGGTTTGTGCGACGTAGAAATTTTACAAATTTTACAAAAACATATGTTCATGTGAGAACATTGCTGGGGTCTCTCCCAGGGCCTTGGAATGCAACAATCCAAGTGAGGGGCTTCCCAGTAAGTCGGCTTCTAAAGGAAGGACTCTTAGGAAACATATTTATTTAGAGATTTAAATAATGAGAAAGCAGTAAATTGTGCAAAAATATAGAGAAAGGATGTTTTGGAGGAGTGACTTATCAAAGAATAAATTGGAGATGTTTGAGGAATTAAAAGAAAGCCATTGTGTAAGGAATATAGCTTCACTACCTACTTCACCTTTCGAACAAACTCAAGAACACAAAGATGTTAGGAACTCAATGTGTAACTTTTGCCTGGAGACTCATGTATAACTACAATGACCTTAAAGGAACATGTGAGATCAACCAATAATTTCTTACAATGTTTCATGGATCCCCAGAGACTAGGGGTAGAAGCGTTTATACAGAGGCTGAGTAAGCTAGGATTCAAGCTCCTCACTGCAGCCTCTTCACTACATTTTTCATGCATCTGTTTCATACCTTGGACTCCTCGTAAGAATTTATTTAAACCAAAAGCTCCATCATTGAGAAAAGTTAAAAACCCCTGAACCCCAACTCCATCACTTGATCTGGGTGGATACTGAAGCTTAGAAAGAGTGAATGGCTTGCCAAAGCCACAGTTAGATAGAGACACAGCCATTACAAAACCTCTATCCTATGATTCTCAATCAGAGGCTCTTTCCAGCATTCCCAACCCTAATCATGCCCTAGCCTAGTCTCCAATATATTTTCTTCCATGCAGTTGCTATTCTTTTAAAAAGCAGGGTGGTTGGTAGATGATTTCCATCCATTTATATTCTCTAACCATCTATAAGACAAAGAGAGCTCTGTACAACTTTCTCAGAGTAAGGCATTCTCTATTTGCCTCAGTGGAAGCTGGAAAGGGATCAGTGAATATTTTGCAGCTATAATTATACCAAATGGAGCTTCCACTAGAAATATTACTTACTGAGGCCAGGTGTCGTGGCTCACACCTGTAATCCCAGCACTTTGGGAGGTCGAGGCAGGCGGATCACTTGAGGTCAGAAGTTTGAGACCAGCCTGGCCAACATGGTGAAACCCTATCTCTACTAAAAACACAAAAAAAATTAGCTGGACATGGTGATGCACATCTGTAGTTCCAGCTACTCGGGAGGCTGAGGCAGGAGAATTGCTTGAACCAAGGAGACAGAAGTTGCAGTGAGCCGAGATTGCGCTACTGCACTCCAGTCTGGGTGACAGAGTGACACTCTGTCTCAAAAACAAAAAAGAAAAAGAAAAAGAAATATTACTTATTGGAAGCTCCACAACAGAGTTAAGGAATGATGCCTGTGGTTGGAGTGAAAAGACCAGATGTCAAGCACCTCTCCTCTCCATTCCTACCACCCCCATTCTTTTTCAGGTCCTCATCACCTCTCACCTTAATCCATTGCACAAACCTCTGACTGTTCTCTCTGCCTCCAGTTCTTCCCCCATTCCAGTTTGCCCTCCACAGTCTTGCCCAATTAATCGCCTTTCAAGTAACACAATTAAAAACACTCTCCACAGTCTGGGGCTCTCTTGCCGAATAAAACTGTAGAAATCACAAAATCTCACCAGGCGCGGTGGCTCATGTCTGTAATTCCAGCACTTTGGGAGGCCGAGGTGGATGGAGCACTGGAGGTCAGGAGTTTGAGACCAGCCTGACCAACATGGAGAAATCCCATCTCTACTAAAAATACAAAATTAGCAAGGGTTGGTGGTACATGCCTGTAGCTCCAGCTACTTGGGAGGCTGAGGCAGGAGAATCTCTTGAACCTGGGAGGTGGAGGTTGTGGTGAGCCGAGATCATGCCATTGCACTGCAGCCTGGGCAACAAGAGTGAAACTCCATAGAAAGAAAGAAAAAAGAAAAAGACAGAGAGAGAGAGGAAGGAAGGAAGGAAGGAAAGAAAGAAAGAAAGAAAGAAGGAAATTACAAAGTCTCTAATAATATTAAAATCCAATTACCTAAACTTGGCATTCAAAGCTTTCTGCAATCCAATGCTAACATTATAATTCTCACTTTATCTCCAATTCCTGCTTTAATTCATGCTGTAATCCAGAAATTCAAAACATTTCTCATTCCTACTCCATGCTCTATATCTTCGCAAATGGAGGTCTTTATTTATCTTGTTACCTGTCCCCACATGTCCTCCCCTGACTGATGTCATTGGAAAGCTTCTCCATCTTTCATGGTCTAATTCCTTGTTGTCTCCTTTATGAAGCCTTCATTGACCATGTCAAGCAAATGAGAATTCTTACACCTTCAACCCCCTGTTACAGATCATATAGACATTCTCATGGCAGTGTTAACATACTGCTTTGTGTCATCATGAATTCTGAAGTTATTTTGTTCCCATTATAGAGTGTGAGCTCTCTGAAGGCAAAACTAACCTATTTATCTTTATATCTCCTAAAGGGCCTAATACATCTCTAGGTGCACAGAAAGGATTTAGTTCCATATTTGACGAAAGGACAGGGCTGAGTTATCCTTAGTGTTCAACTCCTCCATTTTAGAACCAGACCATATAGAATAGGTCAGGAATTGAAAAGAGATATCTTTATGAAATATCCAAACAGAGGGGAAAGGACAGCAAATAAACATCCAATAAAACTAGTCATAGCTGAGTGACACTGTGCCAAATTAGAAAGAACATCAGCTAGAAAGCCAGATCCAAATATGTCAGATTCCCAAGTCACTTTCCAGCTCTGGAACTTTGAACGGGTCCCTGTCCATTCTCAATCTCATTTGCAAAATGAGGCTACAGGTCTGCTGTGAAGACAACTGGAGAAATTGCAATTAACATTTTAGAACATTATAGGTTATGCGGTAACAACAACAACTACAAGAATCAGCAGACCAACCACAGAGCTGAATGTGTTATTGAGCCTCAGTGTGCAGAGGCATGAAAGGGAGGTTTGTGACTTTATCTTGTCACCTGAAGGGTTCATTAGACCTTCAGAAGGCACCTTTTCCCTTCTGTGAGAATTTGTTTTGCAGGCTCTGCAATTATCATCAGATCATCATCATCAGATGATGCACAGGACATGAGATTGAAAACAGCACATCCAAAAAACAAAAAAAGTATGCACCTAGAATGAAATACCTAAGGACATTTCTAATTAGGGAGGGAGAGAGTAATCAGGGATGATGCTGAAAGGAGATGTCAGGCCTGGCATTGCTAAAATGAAAAGGAAGGGAAGCTAGGAGTTATTTTAACTGAAACTTGCACCCACCCACCCAGCCTCCTCCATCTCAGAGAATCGATGACAGAATAGAATTTGAACATCTCTGGGTTTTAGTTAGCCATTGACACATTGATTCCCTCTATAAGCAAGTATTGAGCACTAGTTAGTGGCAGGTTTAGGAAACTGAGAAATAAGGAATTCATGGTCTAGTTCAGGAAAGATACAAATGAGGTATGACAAGAGCTACAATCGCACCATACCCAGGTACGGTAAGAATACAAAGGAGTTCCAGCCCTACCAAGAGTGATCATTATAAGATAAAAGTGATATGGAAAACTGAGTTTTGAAAAATGACCAAGGGGTTTCCAAGAAGGCAAGGTGTGTGGGGTACTCCAAGCAAAAGGAGTTGCTTCCGTGTGACTCTACACATAGTCTAGCTCCTGGCAAGTTGTAGGAGCACAGAAAATGCAAGAGGGTGGCAGATGGCAAACCACAGGTGGGCAGAGACCACACACTCTCCCTTTCTTGTGTACCTCCCAATAATTCCTAGCAGGATATTTGGCACATTATGTGTTCTCAGGAGATCAGAGTTCTTAAACACCTTGTTATCTGTAGACCTAACCTTTATATCTAGTAGGGAGAATTCAGAAGTGTACTTTATCTATGGTCAACAGGAGGAGACTGATTGCCTGAAGATGATCTGGTAGCAGCCAGGCTCCTGGCCCCATTCTGAAGAACTTGACATAGCTGGAAAATCAGACATGGCTGGAAGAAACTTCAGATATATTGTTTCTTAACTTGGCATCTCAACAACTCTAAGAAAAAATCCATTTTTATTTAAATTGTAAAAATAATGTGTCTATTAAGATTACCACCCTTGTTATCAAGTTCTGACATGTAATTTTGATGCTCAATTTTTATGTTTGTTGTTTTGAATATCTTGACCCCAAATGAACATCCAAAGTGACCGCTTTTGACTTCTAATTCAGTATTTTTTGGGATTTCCAAGTCCTCCAGCTTGAGAACAACTTCATTGGATACAATGTCTCAATGAAAGATAAAGATATGGAGACCCAGAAAGGAGAAATAACTTTGTAGTGCATCCAGCTGCTCAGTAAGGTGACTAGAACCCAGGGTGTTTCAATGTTTGCCATATCCCAGTCCAGCCACCAACCCTCTGAAAAGGCAGTCAACAGTACTATCACTTCCAAGATCTCCAGATATAAATCCAAATTTCAAATTCAGCTCACAATTCACAGTGGTGCATTTGACCTTTATGGTAAAAGTTACAGTTTCTACTTTATCTTGGACAATATCCATGCCCCACCTCTCTGAGAAGCAGACAGAATAGGTCAGGATAAATTAACTCCTATTTAGGGAAATAAGAATAGCTTTTTTGTAAAACCAAGTTCTCTCATTGTATAGAATTTGTGACTTCACACATACTTTACTTACATTATGAAGAGATGATACCATGAAATTTCTGATTGTGAAGAAAACATTGCTTTATTGTTAATTTAAGAAAGGTAGCCACTGCTTTTCTGTTAGGAAATTTTGAAAGCAGAGCAAGCCATCAATTTTTGACGTCTTTTACATATATTTGGTAACAAGTAGTCACTGAATAAATGACAAATTGATGTTACCTAAATACTCAATGCAATAAATAGCTTAGAACTGGGAGATGAGTGAGCCACAGGGTATGGGGATTTGTGGAACTCTAAGAACATGGCTATTCAGCAGAATCACCTGGGGAACACTTTGAAAAATGCAGACTCTGGAACCCAACCCCAGACTAACTGAATCAGAATTTCCACAGGCTGGTATCCAGAACCTGACATTTATACAAGCTTTTCAAGTAACTTTGATGATTATCTAATCCACCCAAATGAACTCCTGCCATATTTTTCAGAGCAAAAGTTTCTAAGTCAAAATGATGAAATCAACAATCAGTCAATTATAATCCTACATGAAATATAAAATCTTCCAAGATCAAAATAATTCAGAACAGCTGCCACTTTTTTTTCATTTAACTGTTTCCTCCACTTGAGACCCTATTTACTTATTCATTGAACAAATAATTATAAAATGCCTACAGTACTACAGCTGGGGATATAATTGTGAATATAATATATACGGCCATTTTATCAGGGAACCTATATACCTCAGTCACTGGAGTACTATGAGAGTTCTATCCAGGAAGTTTTTCTGAATTTATAAACTTGACTTCTTTTTCCTGGCATCTCACTTTTCACACTTGCTGCAGACAAGCTTCTTGGCTTCCTGGTCTAAGTGGTGGAAAGTAACCACTGCCAACAGCTCTCAGATTCACATCTCCTCCCTTCATGATGATAACTACTTCCAAAAGAAATTCACTGGCTTGACATGGGTTGAGTAGGTCTCCTGGGGCAGCCCGTGGCCTGGAGGAAAGAGTTCCATTATAAGAACATGATGCTCCAATGGAACCATGTCCTTAGAAAGAGGTTAGGGCAATTCCATTGGAAAGAGATGAATAGACAATTTGATACATTCCAACTGCACTTCTCTGAGGACTACCCGTGCACCTCACAGCATGAATCCTATGCCATTCATTTGGGCTGCTCAGAGTTTTCTTCTTGTCTGAATTTTGGCTCTGTTCAGGTAATTGAGTTATTTTTTCATTCTTTCATTATTCATTCATAAAACATTTATTAGACATTGACCTGGTCCACATCTTCGGGATAAGAAAAAGAAAAAAAGAAGCACCATGTTGTTTCTCTTGGAGCTCACAGATTACTGAAGGAGGCAAATGTATAGACACGTAATGATTATTTACTGTGACAGAGACATGCACTAAGTACTAAGGAAACCCAGGGGAAATTTAATGAATTTCACAGATTTCCCTAAATGAGTCTTAATGAATACAAGGGAGTTTTCTAGATTGGCTAGAGTGAGGGGGCTCCCAAAGTATGTTATGATAACGAAGTTAAGGAATGTGTAGCAGAAGGAAGTTTCATGGCTGAGAGGTGAAGTAGTGACTATAAATGGAATAATACAAAAAAAAGTCTTCCCAGCCATATCATTGGCAAGCTGTGCAAACTTGGGCAAGTTACTAAAACTTTCTATATTTACCTCATAAAATTGTGGTGAGAATTAACTTTCTAGTGGAGGTGAAGTTAATTTTTAAAGTAGTGCTGGAATGTCTTGAATTCTTAATAAATTTTTAGGTATTAATGTTTTATTATTATATTTAATAATGTTTTATTATTGTTATCATGATCATTATCATCATTATTTCAAACAAATATGTGACTCCAAGATATGCTTCTAAAATTTTTACTTGTGAGAGGAGAGTTTATTTTGTTTATCATCATATCACGGAGATTGTGATTTGGACTTGGCCCAGGGTACAAAGTAGTGTAATAGGAAAATAAATCTTGGGACCCCAAAATCACTAAGCCAGAGGGAAAAGTCAAGCTGGAAACTGCATAGGGCAAACTTCCCTCCCATATTATTCCTAAATAACATAGCTACAAAGATAAGAAGCTACATTCATTTCTCACAATTTTCCCAGAAGGAAATTTCTTGTGGACAAAGAACAGACAGAACTCAAAGTCATCCCTCTGAGCTCACCTGAGACAAATATAGATCTGATTGCTTCCTCTGCCCTACTGTTTATGTAAAAATGCAGATTCACTGATCCAGACTAAATTGTGTATTCAGAAGAGGGCTGATCAAGGACTCCAAAGAATGCAACCTTTTATCTCTTATCTACTTCTAATGTGGAAGCCCCCACTTCGAGTTGTCCCACCTTACCAGACCAAACCAATGTATATCTTACACATATTGATTCATGTCTCATGTCTCCCTAAAATGCATAAAAGCAAGCTGTACCCTGACCACCTTGGGCACATGACCTCAGGACCTCCTGAGGATGTCACAGGTGCATCCCTAACTTTGGAAAAATATACTTGCTAAATTGACTGAGACCTGTCTCAGATATTTGGGTCTCACATTTTGGTAACCATGAAGGGATTCTGAGTGCAGATACCCCTGACCTTTGGTAAATTTCCTGTTAGTGCTTGGTACCAACTTGAGCTATCTTTGTGGCTCAAACTGTAACCACCCAATGGATTCACGCTGCCCACTCCCTAGACAGAGCTGATTTATCAAGACAGGGGAGTTGTAATAGAAAGAGTCATTCACGCAGATCAGAGTTTTATTGTTACTCAAATCAGTCTCCCTGAGCATTTTGGGATCAGAGTTTGTAAGCACAACTTGGTGGATGGGGGAAAGCCAGTGAGCCAGGAGTGCTGATTGGTTAGGTAGGAGATGAATCATAGGGAATTGAAGCTGTCCCCTTGCACTGAGTCAGTTCCTGGGTGGGGACCACAAGATCAGATGAGCTACTTAATCAATCTGGGTGACACCAGCTGATCCATCAAGTGCAGTGCCCAAGACGATGGGAAGCCACCTCTTACATCAGCATGACCTAGATGTGAGACATGGAGTCAAAGGAGACCATTTGGAGCTTTAAGATTTGACTGCCATGCTGGATTTCAGACTTGCATGGGGCCTGTAACACCTTTGTTTTGGCCAATTTCTCCCCGTTGGAACAGCTGTATTTGCCCAATACCTGTACCCCATTGTATCTAGGAAGTAACTAGCTTACTTTTGAGTTTACAGTCTTATAGGCAGAAGGGACTTGCCTTGTCTCAGATGAGATTTTGGACTTTGGACGTTTGAGCTAATGCTGAATGAATTAAGGCTTTGGGGGACTTTTGGAAAGGCATGATTGGTTTTGAAAAATGAAGACATGAGATTTGGGAGGGGCCAGGGACAGAATGATGTGATTTGGCTCTGTGTCCCCACCCAAATCTCATCTTGTAGCTCCCATAATTCCCACATGTTGTGTGAGGGACCCAGTAGGAGATGGTTGAATCATGGGGGTAGGTGCCACTCACCTATTTTGAGGTGTTCTGTTTTCTTTGTGGGGTTTCAAGAGTCATAGAAAGATATTTCTTAGGTCTAAAGCTCTGCTCTTCTCTACTGTATTACCTGACCTCTTTGGCTTTAGGGGAACCAGGGATGACCTTGTACTGTGAGATGATTTGACCTTGGCTTGTGTAATGTCATATGGGAGCTACAAATTTAGGGGTGGATAAGGATA
Organism: Homo sapiens; assembly: GCF_000001405.40. Lineage (NCBI taxonomy): Eukaryota > Metazoa > Chordata > Mammalia > Primates > Hominidae > Homo > Homo sapiens. Next base: position 56,866,654 of record NC_000011.10, read on the forward strand.
CTTTACAGAAAGTGGTCTTGGTTGTTTTGTTGTTTATTTTCTTTCCTAGGAAGTTGTTTATGGATCCAACTCTTAATTTGGAAGTGCATTCTAAAGGGTCTTTTCCATTGCTTTTTCTCCCAAAATTAATCTTGATTTGGCTTGCCTGTGTGCATTTTTGTGAGGAACTGAACTGTTATTTACACAGGTAAATGAGAGACTGAGTTTCCTCAGCTCAGAAGAGAAAGGGCATTTTGCTCCTCCCAACCGAAAGGCACTCTTTGGGTGACTGTGGACCTTGTTGGAGTGTAGGGGGTCCTGACCCCCTGTGACATACAGAGGCCCTACAGGGAACCCCCAACAAAATTAGTTTAAAGAAAGACTCATACAGGAAGCACACAAGGGAGCTGGTCACTCGGCACTTGAGCCCTCCTGGAGGTGCTAGACCTTTAGAGAGAGAAACTGAGACACATAAGAGGGTGACAAGGACTCAGTGGTGACACACTGTGGAGTCCCGCCTGCAAGCAGCCCACTTTCACCCACTCTACAAAACCCTAGTCCACAGCTCAGTTCCTCCTTTTAAGAAAAAAAGAAGTGGGAAACAAATAATCTATGAATGAGGAGAAAATGACCCCCTTTCAGGTACTCCATCGGTTTTATGGCACCTCTACTTGCTAGATAGTGTTTGTGTAAAATGGAAATGTTATGGTCTATTGCATCAAGGAAAAAGACCCCCAAGCTCTCTAGAATTCCTAAGTTCTCTTTTCATCTATTTTCTTTTCTGCCTGCTTTAAATCTGCTGTTACTTTTCTACTGAGATAAAAACCACTATTTGAATCCAAGCTTTTTTTTGGAAGCCAGTGAATTTTATCTATCTCATGGCTAGAGTTCTAAAGTAAAAGCTATAGAATCTTTTTTGTGTGTGTATGTGTGTGTGTGCAAATATATATATATATATATATATTTAAAAGACTTTTATAATTTTATGTTTTATGTTTAACTGGCAATTAAATTGATTTTCATTTCCCTTTAGCACACCAGCTTTTTTCTCTATATAGTTTGAGATGTAAATTTTACTATCTGATTTTCACCTAAGAGTGGTTTCCTTTAACCTGAAAATTCAGAGCTGTTCAGCTGACAACTGCCTAGGGTAATGAAAAAGGTTATCAATAATTTGCAAGTTTAAGATAAGAAAAAGAAGAGGTCTTATGAATCTGTAAGATGCGCTTCTATTGGCGTGCCTAATACGTTTATGTATTTATGTGTTGTGTACACAATGTTTCACTACTGAAAATATATAAAATACCTCTAATTGGCTTAAAGAAAAATAAAAGCACTTAAATCAAATACTCTCTTTAAAAAAAAGTCAAATGCTTTTCCAATATCACATGACTTAAGTAAGCTTTTAATAAATAAGCTGGCTTTAAAATTATTGGTAAAATAACATTAGAACTGTCTTAAGAACTGTTAGCATTTTTATTTGCATTTATTGGTCAAGCAGTTTTTTGCTTATTCCTGCAGAATACTATGAGATTGACCTTAAAGTTTACAAAACTATAAAACACAGCCCAAGACAGAATGATCTTTGCTTGTGTAATTTTTGATAAATAAGACATGAAATATTGTTGGTTTAATGAAAACATCTAAATCCTGAATTATCGTTTAAAAATATACCTTTATATTTAACCTTAAAGTTCTTGAGTAACACTTGAAATTCACAGCTATAAAAATGGTTAACAGGGAAATAACTTTAAATAATGACTATCACAGTTAATCTAGGTAAACTATTAAATATATTAATTAGGTAAATGTAACAGATTAAATGCTTGTAAACAAACTTGTCATGTAATTTAGGATCTAAAGTTATTAATAGATATTAAGTGTTTGAGAAATTTTCAAATTTAAAAATTATTTTTAAAACTTTAAAAAGATGTTCTTATTAAAACGTAAATGTCTTGTTCTAATTCAGAGCTTATTTAAAGGTTATATATAAAACAAAGTAAAAGGAACCAGGAAATAAGAGAGATATAGAGAAAGTTATAGAAATGAAGAGGTATTTTTGGTAAGAATGCTTAAACAAAAATAATTTTATATGAGACAGAATCTTGTACAGTAAATCTTATCCTAGAATAAAATGACTGGTTGTTTCAGAAACAGAGACATTTAGGACAAACTAGAAAGTTCAAGCATGCCATGAATGCTCTGTGTAAATCATAATAAGAGGACTTATTTAAAAAATCTTTTATATGACCAAGTTTTCTATAATTAAAGGGAAGTTACAATCATTTTTCTGAAGATTTGGTTTTGATTAAAATAATTATACACTAAATAACTGGTTTGAACTACAAAATTTTCTTAAGATATTGCTTTACATGCTTAATAAATTATAAGACACTATAATTTTTTCTGCAAAATTCAACTTTTATTGCATCTTGCTGTTTTCAGCTTTCTCTCCCCCTTTAAAAGTCCTGAAATAATAACTTTATCCTTCAACTCATTTTCAGTTCCTGTAAGTTTTTTTCCCCCCTTTGAGTTCTAACTGTTGTGGTTTGATGCTTTAAAAAAAAAAGTTATATCTTAAAGGTCTAAAGGAAATGTTTCCTTCCAATATAATATTCCTCATAGGGAAGAGCAATCACACTACAGAAGGTCTTTTCTTTTGCCTTTGGGTAACTGGCCTAATAAACAGATCTTATGCTTTATTGAAATAATTCCTATGTCATTATTCCTAAGTTTGGTTTGCTTATGAAAAACTGCGATTAAAAAAAATTTAATTCAGGTTATTGCATACATATAACTTTCTGTATGTGCCTTTAAGTCTTTGTGCCATTAAGTTACAGGGCTTTGACGCCTGGTTCTAAAAAGGACACCAAGTCTTGCTAAATCTTAACACTGATGGCAGTTAAACCCTCATCTTCAGACCCAGTAAAAGATGCAAATCAAAGTAAATTGTGTTCATAAGACACCAGGCCAGAAATTAAAGCTATTCCACTTCTCATGGCCTGGGAACTATCACAGAAGAGATGGGCATGTAAAATTGTAAGGGCCAATTTTGAGAGATAAAATAAGTTCAGTTTCTCTATAAATAAACCATTAATATCAAAGCACACTGCCTCATGCTGTTTCTATTGGGGCTTATTGTTTGAAATATTAAATCTCCTTTCTTAAAGAATAAAGGTTTTACACCTTTTTTTTGAAATCCTTGAGTTATCACTTTGGTTAAATGAATAACTTATTTTACAATGACCAGTGATGCTATTTTGTGATATCAAGCATTTTAAATCTTTGGTATTTGACAAACTTTCCAAAATCAAATTATAAATTATAATGTCTTTTTCTGATCTAATTAATCCTTTAAGATATTATATTCCCTAAAGTCCAAAAATGACATATTTGGCTTATTTAGTATAAAAATCATACAGGAAGCATTGTCAAATATGAAATGATGTTTGGCTTCCTTTGGACTGTATTTGTTTAAATATGTTATTAGTATGTGTTTCAAAATTATGGGAAACTCCTCTAATTCTGATATGATTTAGGGCACTTTATCAGTAATAATTATAATTGTTATGTTAAAATACTGTGTGCCAGAGAGATAACAAATTTCCTTGTCAATTGTGTCTTTGACTATGGCACCTTTAAAACATTTTGTCATCCACAGACTATTGTTGTTTTGGTCTTCTTTAGAGGGTAGTTTTATAACCAGCTATAAAACTCTAACAGGTGTTCTTGAATGCAGAGTTCTGATACCTTTGAGCTTGTGACATAAGAATAGATGGAAAAACTCAGTACTCTCATGGAGAGATGGAATGTTCATGAATATCATGCAGAACAGGAGTTTACTGCACGGACTGAACTAATAGAAGACTGAAATAATCTGTTTTGACTTTTTTGCTTAAGACATTGCTGATCCTTTGTTTTGTTTTTCAGAGTCAAGAAAACTTTTTGGGCAGGGCATGGTGACTCACACCTGTAATCTCAGCACTTTGGGAGGCTGAGATGGGTGGATCATCTGAGGTCAGAAGTTTGAGATAAGCCTGGCCAACATGGTGAAACCCCATCTCTACCAGAAAATACAAAAATTAGCCAGGCATGGTGGTGCGTGCCTATAGTTTCAGCTACTGGGGAGGCTAAAGTGGAAGAATCACTTGAATTCAGAAGGCAGAGTTTGCAGTGAGCCAAGATTGCACCACTGAACTCAAACCTAGGGGGCAGAGTGAAACTTTGTCTCACAAAAAAAAAAAAAGAAAAGAAAAAGAAAAAGAAAAGAAAACTTTTTGAGCTATTTACAGCTTGTAGGAATTGAGGTAAAGTATACTCCTGTGAACAAAATTTGGAGCATATTTATTTCTTTCTGCCTGATTTTTCCAGAATTTGGAAACTATTTATGAGTATTCTTAACTTATGGCAGTATATTTATTGGCATAAGTGCAATATGCCTGTTTTCTTTTGCAACAGGACACCATTGCAGAAACTGGTTATTTTACCAAGGCTTTGACTGGAATAGTGTGCTTCCCTTTAAGGAATCAAACTTGACTTTTGGAGCTAATAAAAGCCCCTTGGGAAAACTGCTCTCTTACCTTGTCTACACAGTCTCTGGACAGAGTTCCTGACCTGTGGTAAGTAAAGAATGCCACTTTCTGACAGGCTCAGGAGCCCCAAGTTATCTTGGGACCTCAAGAGGAGAGGAATCTACCCAACTCATAGTTATTTGATGGTACAAAGCCGTGGCTGGGTTTGGCTTTAAAGAAGTCTTACCTGAGATTCCTTCTATGGAACAAAGTTCCATGAAAGCCAATTAAAAAGGCCTATATGAAAAAAATAATTACTCTTGCTGCACTTTATACAGATAATCAGTCCACATATAATAAAGCAAATTGGTCCTACCATGATTTGTCTTTAGCAAAAATGGGAAACTTGAGAGAGAAAAATTATGTTTTAGAAAGTATATCATACCTATTACTAGATTCTAGTCTTGCCTAATGGTTTTCCATTTTTACTATTTTCCACAGTTTGGACTGAATCCTAATATTTCCTGGCTACAAGTCTCCAAAATAATGTTTTCATTTTTTTTCCTTCTTTCTGTTCCTCTCACTCCCCACCCCCATTTTTCCTAATTTAGAATCACTGAAAACTAAGTTGTGATTTCTTAAACTCCTGCAAACTGAAGCTAGATAACTTAAACTTCAGAAGAAAATAACAACCTATTTACATACACTTTCATACCTGCCTACTGATGTACGGACTTCAGAGTAATATGACCTATTACAGTTTTCCAGGATTGTTTCTTTTTTGTTTGTTGTTGTTGTTCTCCCTTCTTCTCTTATGTTCTCTTCATAGAACGTGAGACTTCACAACCTGCTAAAAATGAGCTTTCCTTATACAGTGGGACCTACTCATCTGGGGATAAACCATCCTAGCCATGAGAGATTAGACAAAACCTGAGACCAGAGACTCATTTTCTTCTCAAATGCTTTCTCCAAAAGATTTTAAAAAGAAAAGCGTGGGGGGAAATGTGAAAGAAAAATAAATCTTCGATGCCCCAAATCACTAAGTCAAAGGGAAAAGTCAAGCTGGAAACTGCTTAGGGCAAAAACCTGTCCCCCATTTTATTCCTAAATAAGATAGTTACAAAGATAAGAAGCTATGTTCCTCCCACACAATTTGCCCACAGGGAAATCCCTTGTGGACAAAGGACAGACAGAAATCAAAAGTCATCATTCTGACACTCACCTGAGGCAAATTCATAACTGATTGTTTCCTCTGCCCTACTGTTTATGTAAAAATGCAGATTTGCCTAACTAGACTAAATTGTGTATATAGTGGAAGGCTGATCAAGGACTCAAAAGAATGCAACTTTCTATCTCTTATCTACTTCTAACCTGGAAAACCCTACTTTGAGTTGCCCTGCCTTATTGAACCAAATGAATGTACATCTTACACATATTGATTGATGTCTCATGTCTACCTGAAATGTATAAAAGCAAGCTGTACCCCGACCACCTTGGACACATGTCTTCAGGGCCTCCTGAGGGCTGTGTCATGGGTGCGTTCTTAACTTTGGCAAAATAAACTTCCTAAACTGACTGAGACCTGTCTCAGATATTCAGGTTTCATGGTATTAAGTTCAGAGAACACATGCACTAGGTTGCTGACAAGGTCATGGTGGATCTCACAGGATTAGCAGAGGAAATTCCATTGCAGTGTAACCTCCCTCCTCATGAAATGCAATCCCACACAGCAGCAGGCCCAGGTGAGAACACATACTGCTTTTGCATAGCCGCATACCCTGATCTCAAGTTGCCAATACCACTTTGTTTGGTAAAAGACTGTTACTGGGTGCACCATTCAGCCCATTCCCCTAGTGGAGACTGTAAACCAAAATCCAACCATTTTCTTTCAAATCCAACCATTTCTATTTGAACCATTGGGGGGAATGTTCCAAAGAACAAATTAATTTTGTAAAACACACCATGCTCCCCAAGGAGCTAGATTTCAACTTTAGAATGATTTCCTATAGATATTCTTGGGAGTTTGGCTCAAGTGATGATATCAGTGCCCTTTTAGGTTTTGGTGCAAATTACAGAATTCTTCTTACCCCTTCTTCTCCTTTCTCTATCTCTTCAACCAATTACCAAAAATGAGGACAGTAGCATTTTGAACCAGAGTATTTGATTCTGAATCTTTTCTGATTCTATTCATTTTCCCCATGATTTAACCACAGACACCAACCTTTTTGGGCCAGCTTCTTCTTGCTATATATAATGCTATATAATAATATTCTTCCTGCTAAAATCTTCCAGTCACTGTACAGGTGGTTGAAAATGGAAATAGGAAAGTCACAGTCTCTGCCCTTAAGTGTGTATGTGTGGCAGGAGTGAGGGCAGGGTGTCAGTGAGAGACAGGACTATCTGGATTTCCTAGGCTAGGAATTCCTAAGCCTAGCTGGGGAAGGTGACTGCACCCACCTTTAAACATGGGGCTTGTATCTCAGCTCACATCCAACAAATCAGGTAGTAAAGAGATCTCACTAAAATACCAATTAGGCTAAAAAGCAGGAGGTAAAGAAATAGTCAATCATCTATTGCCTGAGAGCACAGGGGGAGGAACAATGATCAGGATATAAACCCAGGTATTAGAGCCGGCAGTGGCCACCCCCTTTGGGTCCCCTCCCATTGTATGGGAGCTCTGTTTTCACTCTATTAAATCTTGCAGCTGCACACTCTTCTGGTCCGTGTTTGTCTGGCTCGAGCTGAGATTTTGCTCACCATCCACCACTGCCGATCATCGCCGTCACAGACCCCCCACTGACTTCCACCCCTCCAGATCCGGCAGGGCATCCACTGCACTTCTGATCCAGCGAGGCACCCATTGCTGCTCCCAATAGGGCTAGAGGCTCGCCATGTTCCTGCATGGCTAAGTGCCCAGGTTCGTCCTAATCAAGCTGAACACTAGTCACTGGGTTCCACGGTTCTCTTCCATGACCCATGGCTTCTAATAGAGCTATAACACTCACCGCATGGCCCAAAGTTCCATTCCTTGGAATCCATGAAGCCAAGAACCCCAGGTCAGAGAACAAAAGGCTTGCCGCCATCTTGGGAGCTCTAAGAACATAGACCCGCCAGTAACACTGGGAAGGGGGTAGCCTGTGTGGTAGCAAAGCTAGACAATTAAAGAGACACATACGGTGTAGTAGAAACCAGCTAAGGCTAGCATAAAATAGACACACCACAAGAATATCTTCCATTGATACACTGAACCATATGAAACTAACGATATGTGAGCAGTTTGACATGCAAAAAATGGCAATGCAATACAGGTTCTGATAGGATTAAGCATTAGGTATTATAGAAATATAGTGGAATAGTTATATGGACCCAGGAACTGCCTTTTTAAAATTCAACTTTAGGGCTCTTTCCTGGTTAGAAAAGCAATAAATCAGGGAAGAATCTTGAAGGATGAATTTGGCTGGACAATTCTCCATTTCCACTGCCACTCTTCTTACCCAATCTACCATCATCTCTTGCCTGGGCTAGTACAAGCTTTTCCTAACTCGTCACTTACATTCTTCTCCATCTACTTTCTACACAGTATCCAGAATGAGTGATCCTTGAAAATCTCAAATTGGATCATGTCCTTCAGCTACTTAAAACCTGTCAATGATGACCAGTTGTACTTCAAGTAAAATCCAAATCCTCTCAAGGTACCAAGGTACAAACATGATCCTGTATTCGCTACCTCTCTTACCCTTTGCACACTACTGCTCTCTCTGTCTCATTCAAAAGCTCCAGGTTTGCAGGCCTTCATTTTCAACTTCTCCAGTAAGCATTTTTATATCTGTGGCTCAAGCCTCAGAGGAAGGTTTCTTCATTTAGAGAATAATGAGAAAGTCATATAAATCTCAACTCCGTGTTAAAACCTTATTAAATACAACTTTTATTATTTATGCTGCACAAATAAAAAGCAAAGAAACATGGTCCTTTTGTTAATCATATGGTAAGAGACCATTTTCCTTCAGGCATTTTGAATTATTGAAGATACCTCCCCTCTCTCCCCCATGTATTCTTCTCTTTCTTCCTTTGCTTTTGGTTGTGTTGTTTTGTGTGTCCATAATTGATGTAACAAAGAGCATTTAATGAGCCCTGGTCTGGTGATCTTTTCCTGCCCCACACCACTGCCTGACATTTGTTCTAATTTGGACTTCTGCTTCTGACCTTTGCAAAGCTCTCTAGGTAATAAGCTCCCAAGATAATAAGCTCCCCAGATAATATGTTCTCTAGATAATAAGTTCTATAACATCAGAGCTCACAATACATCTCCCATGGCTACCACAATTTCATGTACAACAATAAGTATTTATGGAAAACAAGTTGTGGATTCAGCTCCAACCATATATGTGTGGCCTATTAAGGTATATGAAATAAGGACCCGTCACCTAATATTTCTTATCTAATATGTTGGCAGGGGAGAAGGAAGAAACAATACAAGAATTGGCCCCAGGAAATATTTATTCTAAATCCGGCACATGCAAAACCCCGAGATAGCCATCAAGGACAAAAATCGTCACTGGGAGGTGGGAAGCCCTGAAGGAAAAGCACTAGTCTTGGTGTCAGAAGACCTATGCTTGTGTTTTCACGCTGACAGGACATGTGTATCTCAACAAGTATCTTCATCTTCTGAACCTATTTCCTCATCTATAAAAGGTCACTAACACCCATTTTGAAAAACCACATGTAGGTTAGGAGGATTCAATGTATGTGAAAGAGTTCTTCAAACTCCTAAGCACTTGCTGTGCTGATGGTAAAGGTGATAATGAGGAGGAAGGAGTGTCTGCTATGGGAAAACCACTGTCCTAAAACTTTTAAATACATTGTTAATTAATCTGCACCAATAAGTCTACGAATTAGATTCTATCATAATCTCAATTTTACAGATGAGGTTCAGAGAGATGACAAATTTTCCCCAATATCACACAGTCATTTTAATGGTGGAACAGAAATTTTAACCCAAATCTATCTGGCTCCATAGTTAACACTCTTAACTACCATATTATATGGCCCCAATCTAACTCCCTTATCTTTGGGAAATACTTTTATTTATAGGTCAATGACACAGAGTTACAGATCCTGGGTACAGCCTGGGTCTGTAACTTACTCAATGTATAATGCTGGGTAAGTCTTAACCTCTCTGTGCCTCATCTGTTAAATGAAAGAGTTGAACTCTAGGATCTCTCAAGTTCATTCCCTTTGAGTTCATCTAACATTATACGGTCTTCGTTCTTGTTGGTACAATAGTTTATTAGGTAATTGTTTATTAGATAATTAACAGTCCATGTCACCTTGGCTATCTGCCAAATGAATAGAAGCACACTACAGATATTAGAGAGGGAGGGTTGAAGGGAAAAGATTTCCAAGGGCTTTGGCAGGTGGAGAAGGCTTTTTGGAGAGGATAGGCCTGAACCGTTTCACCATTAAAAGCACTTTTATTATTTTTCTCCATAGTCACTATATTTACAAAGATTTTATGTTTACTTAACATTGTGTCATGGTCTGGCAAAAGAGAGCATCTGCAGCCCCTCCAGGAAAGAAGAGAAATCCTGTAATCCCTAGAGAGAGTCAGGCAGGAGGACAAAATTAGTGGCTGCATGCTTACTGCAGACCAGCACGGTATGAGAACAGTATTTTGTCATCAGCTGTGAGTCAGCTAAAAGTTGAAGCCAAATGTTCAAGCATTGTTAGGAGTTGAGTCTTTTCTTTGATGAAGCATATGGGAGCCTCATTCATCCACACTTTCCTTGCCTCCACATCCTTGCCATTATGGGAATGGCATATAAGCCAGTGATGCTCAACCAGAAGTGACTTTGTCCCTTATGAACTATAGGCGATATCCGAAGACAGACTAAATGCCATGACTTGGCTGGGGAGGAAGTGGGAGCTTGTTCCTGATATCTAGTGGATAGAGGCCAACAATACTTAGGGCAGGCTCCCCACCCTCCATCCCCAGCAACAGAGAAGTATCTGGTCCAAAATTTCAATAGTGCTGAGGCTGAAAAACTCTGATACAAGGGAACAGCAGTTACAACAAAGAAAAAGAAAGCCAACTCACCAAGAGCAGCTGTAAATAGAAACATCTTATTTTTACTTTCTCCTCTCCTCCCCAGCATTAAAAGGAATAGAAAGGAAAGCACTTGGAATCCCCAGGACAGCTTGTGGAAGGTTTTGGGGTAGTGTGGGTGGAGCTTTAAACTGAATATGAGATTGATTTTTAAAATAACTTCTTATTTTGAAACAGTTTAAGACTCACAAGAGTTGCAAAAATTATAGTATAAAGTCCCCATATACTCTTTAGCTAACTTCTTCCAATAATAATGTTATATAACCATAGTAAATGGCCAAAACCAGAAAAGTGACTGTGATGCAATAATACTGTTAACTCAGGTGCAGATATTATTTGGATTTCACCAGGATATACGTGCACTCTTTTTGTCTATTTGTTTTGGTATATAGTTCTGTGACATTTTATCACATGGCTAGACTCAAGTACCCATCACCATAATCAAGATACAGAACTGCTCCAAATCCACAAAGAAACTCTCTCATGTGTTACCCCTTAATAGGCGCACGCTTCCTTCAACCCCAGTCTCTAATAAACACTGATCTGTTCTTTATTACTGTAATTTAGTCATTCCAATAATTGTATATAAATATAATTTTACAGTATATTGCCCTTTGAGGTTTTGTTTACTGTTTTATTTTTCATTCAGCATAATGCACTTGAGTCATCTAAGTTGTTGTATGTATCAATAGTTTATTCCTTATTACTGATGAATAGGAGCCCATTGTATGGATGTACCAAAGTTTATTTAACAATTTACTTGTTGAAGGATATCTGGATTATTTCCATTTCTTGGCTGTTATAAATAAAGCTGCTATGAGCTTTTGTGTTCATCTTTTTGTGTGAACATAAGTTTTCATTTCTTTAGGAGAAATGCCCAGGAATGTGATTGCTGGATCATTCATATGGTAAGTGCATATTTACCTTTATAAAAAAAAAACACCAAACTGTCTTATAATGAGACTGTACCATTTTACATTCCCATTAACAATTCATGAGAGATCCATTTATAAGGCTGTTTTAAAATAGAAGCACTATGTGAAAATAACCCAAATGAGATTGTTTCAATAACTAAAATGACTTCACAGCTAAGATATCTGAGTACAATAATATTAAAGGAATCCACTGCTAACCTGGAAAGTGAGGTTTCAAAGTACACAGAAGGTAGCAGTTATTAAGGAAAATAACAATTATTGTACATCAAGCAGATTCTCCTCAGTCAAACATATTATATCATTAAATACCATTTTCTTTGAAAGGTAAATTTCTGTTTTCAGTTTTTATTTCTAAAGAATATAAGTCACTGTTATTTGGAGCTTCCAATTACCATGTGATAACACATAGCATTATCCTGAGATAAACTAATTCCAGCCAAGTGCAAAGAACCAGACTTCCTACTGAGACTAGTTGACCTAATATGAAAAATTAGTATTTTTAATAAACCTGGAAGCAACTGGATCTGTCAGTTAATGATATGGCTATAATATCCAGTAAAGGACTTAACCTTCCCAGTCTGTCATAAATTATAGCAAACAACAGTTCTTATCTCATACACTTTTTTAAATTTGATAAGGTATGCAAAACATTTAACACAATATCTGAGACATAGTGAATACTTAGCTCAATCTATGAGTTGGAATGAAAATACCTACCTGTCTATTATGAAGAAGAATAAAATAACAAATGTGAAGCATGTAACCAGCAGTAGAAACACGATAAATGTGAGCTGAATATGTTGCCACCTTGAGTTTTTACTCCAGGAGGTGCACACAGTACCAAATTAAAAGGGAGTGCTGGAAAGGGGCCAATTTAAAATTTACCTGGTTCTTTCCTCAATGCCTTTGAATTATTTGACCGTAAAGATTTCAGATGGGCTAATCATCATGCTTTCCAAGTTTTTTCATTGTAATTGTATTTAATTATTGTGATGAAAATGACACTGTTCCCCATAAATACTCAAGACCCACTCACAGTTTCTTATATTTATATTCATATATCTAGGATCTCTCAAGTTCATTCCCTTTGGGTTCATCTAACATTATATGGTCTTCGTTCTTGTCGGTATAATAGTTTATTAGGTAATTGTTTATTAGGTAATTAACAGTCCAAGTCACCTTGGCTATCTGCCAAATGAATAGAAGCACACTACAGATACTAGAAGGGGTTGAAGGGAAGAGATTTCCAAGGGCTTTGGCAGGTGGAGAAGCCTTTTTGGAGATGATAGCCCTGAACCATTTCACCATTAAAAGCACTTCCATTATTTTTCTCCATAGTCACTATATTTACAAAGATTTTATTTTTACTTAACACTGTGGCATGGCCTGGCAAAAGAGAGCATCTGTAGCATTATATATATATAAAATATGTGATAGTTATATTCTTTAAAAATTATTATATGTTTCTTGAGTCATATTGATTTGTATACTATTGGAAATGTTGTTCAGGAGATACAACATTTCTGCTGAATGTGTTCATTCAACATTTAACATTTCTCTTCCTGAATGTGTAGAAGTATTGCGTAGGAGTGTTGTTTCCTACATAACAAACATGTAAGCTCTCTTTGTTTATTTCTTTAAGTTCTGTTCTGGTTCAAGCAATTTATGCAGTATTAACAGAAATAAATCCACAAGCATCTCATGAGCATCTATTAGAAGCTCAGCACCAACCCAAACTCTGGGAAGGAATATAGTCATCAGTCAATGAATCTCCTAGTAGGATAGTACATTCTGGAAAGTAACCTCAGAGTAGATGGCAATATATATTTATGGCAATATAAATCAAGAAACTTAGAAAGATGCACTCCTTTGGTGTTGCAGTTATTAAGCCTTTAATGAAACTTTTAATGGCAGCATAAATGCTGAAAGGTAATTTGATAAGAAGTGTCAATAACTTTAGCATAAATTCTGAAAGGTAATTTGATAAAAGGTGTCAATAACTTTAAAAACAGTCAAACCCTTTAACGCAGCATTGCCTACTCAAGGCATTTATCCTACAGAAATAACACAAATAAATACTATCAAAAAGGGTTTCATTAAGCATTATTAATAGTGGAAACAATTGGAGATTCACGTAACCAATAATAATGGTATTTCTAAATAGAGGATGGTACATACTTAATTTGGAAAATTATGTAGCCATTTAAATTGTGTTTTTTTAAAGAATATTTTACATAGAGAAAAATTAAGAAAAAGATGTTAAGTGGATAAAAGCAGGATACAAAACAGCAATACTATTAAATGTGTGCAGTTTTATTTCAAACATATGAATAAATGTGTGTATATTTGTAAATATATATGTGTGTGTGTGTGTCTGTGTGTGTGTGTGTGTGTGTGTGCGCGTCTAATGATCTCCCTAAAAGGGACAAGGCCATCAGTATGTGATAGAATTACAGGTCATTTAAAAAAATTCTTTATATGTCCTATAGAGTCAGAAAAATATAGAAAGATGATTAATAGGTTTCTATCCTCAAAAAGAGTTAACATCCCAGCAGAAAAGATATAATTTACACATGGCATAATAAAAAAATATACAACCGAATATGAGAACTAGACTTCTGCTGTCTCATCCTCTGTTCCTCCTTTGGGAAATTACCTCTCCCTCAACGTGATTGTGTCTCTAGTAAGGCAACCTCATCAGGTAGACTTGCAATTTCTTGGGCTCAGTCACAAGTGGGGTCTACAATCCAGGCCAGCTCACCTGGTATCGCTCTTTGTCGGGCCACAGAATGAGTGAGAGTCCACCTGGGTCCCATTTTTACACTTTAGAAAAGAGAAGATCTTTGTATGAATTTGAAGCCCAAACTTCTAGCATTGACAAGGAAGTAATGTACCTGAGAATGAAGCTAACCTGGAGAAGAACTGAGTTGAACATTGAGAAAGAGAGACATTAGGACAATATCCTGAAAAAAAGTAATTTTTGCCCAGTAGAACCAGCCATGCTTGAAGACATATGTAACCCTGAACTTTTCTGTTTTGTGAGCCAATAAATACCTTTTTTTATTTTCATTTTTTCAGACAGTAAATTCCATTTTCTCTTAAATCCATTTGATCTATGTTACTGTCTTTCAACTCACATGGTCATTATTGATATAAACACATCTTTCAAAGACATAGCATGAGTTATTGAATCAGGGGAGAAACAGGTCACTTCCAGCCTGATGACTGGGAAAGGCTACTCAGAGAAGGGGCAATCCGAGCTGGACCTTGGAACAAAAGAGAGAGTAAGCATAAGGACCAAAGAAACCTGGAATTTATAGAGGTATAAATGTAAGGTATTTGGTAAGATGCTTTTACTGAAGGAGAGACTTTGTGTTGGGAAGCAGGAAGTGATGGGCTGGGGACAACACTGTAATTATCAGGCTAGTGGTTTTAGAAATTATCCTATAAGCAATGAAATATCCATTAAAGAATTTTAGTAAGTGTGTGACCTGTTGAAAATCATCCTTCCAGAAAAATAATTAGTGTGAGAGTTATACCTAATGAAAGTATAAAATTGGCACCCTCTTCATCCTTTTCCTCCTGTAATCTCTTCCCAGGGAAATTCACTAGCTAATCTCCTGGTCTTCAGTTTTCCATACTGATTTATCCTCCATACATTGTCTGGTGGACTTTTTAAAAATATGTCTAATTGTGGCACTTAAAAAGTCAGGATGTTTCTTAATGTCCATGCTGCAACATGGATAAATCTCAAAATGATTATGTTGAGGGAAAGAAACCAGACCAAAAAGGAAAAATGCATAGTATATGATTCCATTTATATAACATTCTAGAAAAAAAAATGACAGAAAGCAGAGCAGTGGTTGCCTAGCAATGGGGAGAAGGTGAGGAGGAGGGGTGAGAGTGTGATAACAGGGGGATGAGAGGACTTTAGGAGGCAATGAGATAATCACTGTCTTGTGTGCTAATGGCTTCACGGGTATATACACATGTCAAATTTTGCACCTTACATACATGCAGTTTAGCATTTGTGGAATTGTTACACAGTTATACCTCAATATAAATAATACCTCAATAAAGCTAGTTTAAAAATAAAGTGACAATGACGATGTGGTCCAGTCTCAAAGCAGAAAGCAAAACAGTACAACTAAAGACCAGTTTTTAAAGTAGTTCAGGCTATTTTCATGTATTTTCTGAACTCGACAGCATCAACTCTCTAAAGCGCCCTTATTCTTTCTTGATCCAGCTTCTTCCAAATTCCTTCGCTGTTCCCACATCCGTTTATTCTAAATTCCTTGAAAATTTTACCTTCTACCATCAGCCATAAGGGAATAGATTCTCTATTTTTTCTAAATCATATTAAATCCAGTTCCAGACTCCAAATGTTGGCAAGAAGTTCTCAAATCAAGTATTTTTGGTATTAACCACTGCCCTTTTATTGTTTAAGGATCTCAGGGTACCAGAAGAAAAGAAATAATAGAAGATGCCTCATCTTCATTCTGTGGTCATCCTTATCACTGTTGATCGTTCTGCTACACAAGGCTATTTTTTTACCAGTTAGCATTCAGTAGTTCTTTCATTGTGCCAGGCATTAAGCTAAATGCATTTTCTTACTACTCATAACAACCCCATAAGAAAAGAC
Organism: Homo sapiens; assembly: GCF_000001405.40. Taxonomy (NCBI): domain Eukaryota; kingdom Metazoa; phylum Chordata; class Mammalia; order Primates; family Hominidae; genus Homo; species Homo sapiens. The sequence goes on from NC_000011.10 coordinate 56,882,824, forward strand.
ACATGGTACCCCCTTTTCCCACTCACTTGCCGTCTTAGTTCGGGCTAGTCACTTACCTTCTCTGATCACCAGTTGTCTCTTGTAAAGCGAGATGTAAAACTAGGTGGCTCTTCAAACTCTGACATTGGTTTTTTTCTTTATTTACTATACATACCAATGCCAAATAAGGTGCCGTAAGAAAAAAGAAAGGTGGATTGCACACTGAAATTGGGCTCGTTTTCATAGACTGAACCTACATGGACATTTACTGGCCTAAAGTAACTTTATCTCTTTCTTTTCTTTTCTTTTCTTTTTTTTTTTTTTTTTTTTTTTTTTTTTTTGAGATGGAGTCTTGCTCTGTCACCAGGCTGGAGTGCAGTGGCACGATCTCAGCTCACTGCAACCTCCGCCTCCCGGGTTCAAGCAATTCTCCTGCCTTAGCCTCCTGAGTAGCTGGGACTACGGGTGCATGCCACCACGCCCAGCTAATTTTTGTATTTTCAGTAGAGAAGGGGTTTCACCATGCTGGCCAGGATGGTCTATCTCCTGACCTCGTGATTGGCCTGCCCAGGCCTGCCAAAGTGCCGGGATTATAGGCGCAAGCCGCCGCGCCCAGCCAGTAACTTTATTTCTTTTTCAGCGTACTCAGAACAGATTAAGACTACAAGAAATCCCTGAATACACAGACACATTTAAAGTTCTTGGAGACCATCTGGTCCCTGGAAGAATTCAAGACTTGATTTCTGAGCACATAGAAGAAGTCTGAGGCTAGGCAGGTTTTTTCTGGGATCTGGCAGGGACCCAGCCAGGACATGGTGTAACACGGGCAGTGGTATTCCAAGGACAGGGTGATGGGAGCAGTCTACGCTGGTAGAAAAGATGATTTTATCACTGGCTTTAACAAAATTATTTTTAAGTGGCAATCTTCAACCATATGTGCTGCTACTTCCAGCAGTCTCTTCCAGGACTGCTGATTCAGCATGGCAAACTTCCCCAAAGCATCCAAGGCCACAGTGCCAAGTGGCAAGCATCCCTGTGCCCCCAAAGATACCATACAACACAATATATACCCAGCTTCAATATGGCAAGACTGGGCTCTGCTTCACGGGAAGCTCAAAGCCTCATCACAGGAAACTCATACATTGCTACTGACAGTATAAGATTATACAACCCCTATGGAGGGCCATAGAACAAAACTGCCTACATTTTCACCTTTTGACTCAGCAATTTCACATTAGAAACTTACCCTGAAGATACATGTCCTAGATATCCATGCAATGAATATCATGGATATTAATTATCAGTAAAAAATAATACACTCTACGGTGCTTAGGGGTGAGGTGTCACAATGTCAGTAACGAACTCTCAAATGAATCAGAAAAAAAAATGGATGGATAGTTGAACTGAATGAATATAGATGGATGGATAGAGAGCAAAGGATGAATGGACAGAAATGAATAATGACAGAGATAAATGATTGATTGACTGATAGCACATGCAACGTGAAATAAATAAAGCAAACATGGTAAAATTCTGAAAACTCATGAATCCAGATGATAGAAAGATAAGTATTCACTTCCCTATTCTTGCACTTTAGGTTTGAAATTTTAAAAAATAAAATGCTGAGGAAAATTAAACCAAATTACTTTGTTCTTAAAAGACTGAGGGACCATGGGCCAAGGACCTCATGAAACTATAGGATAAACTTACGGCATTTCCCAAAATTGAAGTGAGGCTAAACTGGATATTACTGAGCAGGAAGCAAAATAGCCATGAAGTTTTAAAATAAAACTGCATCAACCAGTCACTTGAAGCCACTTGAAGCTTGAACCCTAGAGCTTACATTTATTTTCCTTAAATATTAGAGAGTATTTAGGGAAAAATTTGAAGAAGCCATCTTCATTTCCACACCTTTTAAGCTATCTAACTCCTTGCATGAGATTTCCTCTCTTTGAACCTGATTTCTCCTTTGAGAGAAATGGCATTAACACTTATCACACACTACTATTGTGAGAATTAAGTAAAATTAAGAGGTATGTAAACATGAGGGATGCATGGCAAATGCATCACGAGTGTCTCTTCTCTTCAATTTCTTTCTACCAATAGTGTACCTAAGAGACCAGCTAAAGGTCATTGGCAAACCTAAAACGATGTCCCATTCCCCGAGATATTCATTCGTGCATTATTCATTTACTTAGCAAATATTTAGCAAGGACCTAATTTTATGCCAGACTCTACAGTGATGAACAAAACAGGCAAAAATCCCTGCCCTCCTGGATGTTGGAATTTAATCCCCTGCTCTTTCCTCCACCACTCCCTGTCTCTTACTTGACTAGTTGAGCACCGTTTTGGGTGTTCCTGAGAACAGGCCTCTGTTTCTCCTCTTCCCCCATGAGATAAGGCAGCAGCTGAGACCACAGAAGTAAATGATTGCTTTGAGTTTGTGTGAAAACAAGGCCACACTGCCCCACTTGAATCCTGCCCATGGCAGGATCAGGGCTAGCCAATAGCAGGCTGTCAGCACAGCTAAAGCAGTCCTTCCTGAATGTCTGCTTTGAGACAATGAGACTCTTTTAAGCCAAGGCACCAGTAGCTAATTTGAGTGTTTTTCAAACAAACTTTGTTGAAATTATAAAGCAGCACTTCAGAACAGTTGCCCTGGGAAAAATGGGAGTGCAGTTTACACAGTGTTCATACACACAGAGCCAGGGTGTGCCTCAAGTTAAATGAACCCATCTGGGGAGCAGATCGGCCCTGATCATAATGAGCAAATCAGCCCATGATAAAAATAGCTGCACTCACATGCACTTATAATAAAGTAGATCTCAAGGATCTCAAAGCACATTATAAACAGATAGGTAAGTAGTGAGCCAACAGAAGAATCCCTTTATGTTCAGTCCAACATTCTATATGGTTCTGTAGCTAAGAAGAAAGGTTATGTTTTTCTCTGTGTGACACAATGGATCCAGCTGGAATAGCTCCTATGGAGAACATAGAAAATCTTGTACTCATTATAAAATCACAATTATCATAATAATATTAACTTGGTACCAAAGTAATTGCTGTTTTTGCCATTACTTTTAATGGCATTAACACTATTACTAACCTAATAACAGATTTCTGCATTAAAACCATACTTGTACTTTCATTGTCTCTTTTGAGCCTCACAACGGCCCTTTAAGATAAGCAGAATAGGTATCATATCTAATTGAACAGAGAAAGAAACTGAAGTTCAGAGAGGGTAAGTGCCTCATATAAAGATGCACAGCTTTTTAGAAAGAAGTAGCATAAAAGAGACATGAACAGTTTTTATGCTAACACTGGCACTTTTTTGCTCTCTTTGCTATCTTCAAAAACGATCTTCTTTCTCTGTTGGTTACAGAGTCTGAATCCTCAGAACCTCAAAGTGGCATAGGCTGGCATCCAAGCCTGTTGTAGAATTCTTTTTAATGATTTCCATTTTTTTACCATAAAGAGCAATGCTTTGGTTTTGAGGGTGTTACTATAGAACTGTCCATAAACTTGATCTTTTGGTTGATTTATGACATTGTGGAGCTGGAGAATGTTCATTTCTTAATTTAAAAGGCGTGAAGGATCCTGAAGAAGAGAGATTCAAAGTGGGACAACTGTGATTCCAAAAATCAAGCCCTTGTCCGTGGGAGAAGGAAAGATCAACGTGCTTCTTCAGTCTGTGATGAATGCTTTGATGTTCTTTCTCCCACTGCTTTTATTGAACTAATACATGTTTGTCTCTTTTTCTTGCCCATTAACTGACTGTATTCCCACTTCCTTTAGGAACACTGAATTATTCAGTTCAGAGTTCAGTGCCTGGCGATTGCATGTGCTCACTGAACATTGCTGAGGTTGAGTAATATGCTGACTCGGAGATAAATAAATGATATCAGTAGCTAATATTTACTTCGGGGACATCTAGGTATTATCTTAAGCACGATACATGAATTAAGATATTTAATCTCTACAATGGAAAGTCTATTAGGCATTAGTATAATTAGCTTCCTCTCTATTTTAGAAATGTGAAACTGAGGCACAGGAAGATTAAGGCACTTGTCCCAGTTCACAGCACTAGAAGAAGCGATCCTGGATTTTGAATCCTGGAAATCTAGCTCTCTACAAAGAAACCACATGCTTAGGAATGGAGGGAGTTGGGCAGTGTGTTTTCTTTATTTGTTTTGTTTCATTTCAGCAGCTCCTCATACAGAGAAAAGAAAGTTTTGTTCATCTCACATCTCCAGATTATCTAGTGTAGCCATCAGAAAATAATAAGTTCTTGTGAAAACTTCAATAAATTACATGAAGACAAGATGGTTTTTGGCAGCAGGAAAAACTTATATAATACCTCTGACCAGTTTCAGGCTGAGAAATAGGGATACTGGGATTTTGAAGGTCAAACTGCTTTGGCCAAGGGATACTGCCTTGAGTATCTTAAGTAATTGAATACACATATTTGAGTCACAGTAATCCCTATTCTGCTGCCCTGTTGAGAGACGATGTGAAAATGGCCCAGTTGTCTTAAAGATGGTGAAAAGTCCTAGAGGCACAATGCTGGCCCATGGAAGCCACTCCATATGGGTTTGGTGGATGGATTCATAAATGAATGAATGAATCATTCACCTTCAACCAGCAAAAGATGCCTGCTTTTCAAATAGTTCAGTGTGGGATTCACACCTCAGAATCTTATCCTTAAAAGAACTTTGGTTTAAACACTTCTTTTTGTAATTGTTGTAATCTTCAGCATTACATCTGAGGCAAGGAATTTACCAAATTTTCCACCAGGAAGCATTAAAATATGAGGGAGCCAGGGGAAGGGGGTGGGGAGTGGTTACTGAGAAGGGGTCAGTTCTCTGTGATGCTAGGACATTTGTTTCTGACTTTGGGAAAAAATTGAACATAGCTAACATATCCCCATATTCCGACTGCATCCAATCTGAAAAGGAACATTTTAAAGTTGCCAAGCATACAGAGGGCTTTTGCTAGGAAAGCTCTCATTACAAATACTTTCTGAGTCTTCCAAACAGTTTGCACGCAAATACCTGAGACTGCGTAACTTACAATGAACAGAAATATATTGGCTCGCAGTTCTGGAGGCTGAAAAATCCAATATCACAGTGCCAGCATCTGGTGAGAGACTTCTTCCCATGTCATTACAGGGCAGAAGGCAATAGGATGACAGAGAGGGCTTGAGGGGACTGAACTTGCCCTTTTATAAAGGGACCAATCCCACCCATGAGATGGAGCCCTCATAGCCTAATCACCTCTTAAAGGTCCCACCTCTAAATACTGTTACTATGGCAATTAAATTTCAACATGAATCTTGGAGGGGGCAAACATTCAAACCGTATCATCATGATATGGCAAAATGACATTCTCTTAAATTTACTTAAAGTGCCAGGCAACTCCTCTGGACAAGCCCCTGACCTGCCCTCACCAAACTTCCAACCAGATTCTTGCCCCAAAACCTCACTTATACCGGAACTCTGGAGCTGTCAGGAATTTACGCCTAGGACCTACAAATACTCGGTGTGCATATGTTGGATTTATAAAATTCCCATTCAGAAATCATAGACAGTGCAGGGGATTTCTGTTAATACCACAGCACCTAAGTTAATTTAATGTAATGCTGAAATTTGTGCTCATTCTTTCCTTTTGCAGATGGGAAACTAAAGCCTAAATAAGAAATTTGCCTGATCTTCCACAGATAATAATGGGGAAGCCAAAATATGATCTGAGCTTCAAAATCAGTTTCTTTCTTTGATTCTCTATTTTTATTAAAGAAACTGCCTTTTACATTATAAAAGTAAAATACTAATTTGTAGAAAACTGAGAAAGTATCACAAAAAATAAAGAAAATAATATTGAATAATGTTTTAATGCAAAGAGAAATAATGCCAATATTTTGGCATATTTCCTTCCAATCATATACTATCTAGTAAATACAATTTATTGACTAATTTTTTTCTTTTTTATATGGCAAGCAGGAGTCCATGCCATTAAAAACTTCCTGTTTAGTATCTATATAATATTCAGTAATACATACTTTGTACTTTATTTTAATATCTATGTAATATTGAGTATATACAGACTTTATTACATAGTAACACAGTCTTTATTGCTAAATATTTAGATCATTATTCTGATCTTAACAATTATAAATAATATTGAAATAAATCTCCTTCTACATAAATCTTGAACTGAAAGACTGATAATTAAGTTAGTACAGATTCCCAAATGTGAGAATATATTTTTTCTATTTTATGTAGCCTCTTTCCTTAAAACTAAGACCCTTCCCCCCTCCACCACCCTGAAATTATTTCTCCTGCTTTGTTTATAAACCACAGAGCTGTTATTACAAATGTCTAGATCAAGGTATGGGAAACAGAGTGAAAGAGCTGGAGATTTGGAATCAGAAAATCTAGATCAATGCACCAGTTCACTTTTCACTCACAAGATGATCCTGGAATGTTACCTGAGAGGCTTTCTGTCCGTGTTTTCTCACCTGGAAAATGGGGCACTAATAGCACCTCCCTCAAAAGATTGAACTGAGGCTTAAATCAGATCAAACATGTGACAACAGCTTTGTAAACCATCATGTGGTCTCGCAAACATCAGTTGTGATTACCTTTACGTGTGCTGACAGATTTAAACAGCTTTCAAAGGGAAATCACAAGAGAGAAAAACCAGTTTATGTTGATGTGCTTTTTTGGTAAAATAAAGCCCAAACCTTTCTTTATTTTATTTTTTTATTTGTAATGTTTTTGGGTACATAGTAGGTGTCTATATTTATGGGGTACATGAGATGTTTTCATACAGGCATGCAATATGAAATAAGCACGTCACGGAGAATAGGGTATCTACCCTTGCAAGCATTTATCCTTTGAGTTACAATCTAGTTATCCTCTTTAAGTTATTTTAAAACGTACAATTAAGTCATTATTGACTACAGTCACCCTGTTGTGCTATCAAATAGTAGGTCTTAATCATTGTTTCTATTTTTTTGTACCTATTAACCATCCCACCTCACTCCCCCAAACCCCCACTACCCTTCCCACCCTCTGGTAACCAGCCTTCTATAATCTATGTCCATGAGTTCAATTGTTTTGGTTTTCAGATCCCACAAATAAGTGAGAACATGTGATGTTTCCCTTTCTGTTCCTGGCTTATTTAACTTATTGTAATCCAAACCTTTCTTTTAAAAAAGTTTAAAAGAATTAAAAGGTCCTCGGGATAAATAATAGCTGTCCAAAGAACATTTCCCAAGTCCAAGTTGTGTCATCCTGGAGATTTTGAAAGCTTTTGCTCATATGTTGGATTAGTACATCTAAAAGTCTCTGATCACAGGCAAGTCAGAGACCTAATGAACCCAACACGCCTTGAGGCTGTGCAAGAGAATCACCAGGACCACAGCTTAGTCCCTCCTCTCTCAGGGAGGGCCACAACATGAGGCCAGAGTGTGATTGGCCTAGGCTCTTTACTAAGGAGCATTTAATGATGAAGGAGGATGCTTCCACGAGACTAGAGAACAGAGAGAGGAGAGGTGAAGAGCGAAAGAAGGAAGGAAGGTGGCCTAGCCTTCATCAAGGCACAAAAGATTCAGGACAGGCAAAGAAGTGAGAAGCTGGGAAGGTGCTCACTATGAGGTTTGTGAAGAGACAACTAGGCTCAGAAGTTTTCAGTGTAGGTATCATACTGCAATGGAATGAAAAGGGAGAAAGGCAGTCATTTTATGGTTCAATCAGAGGCGAGGATTAGAAATTTCAAGCATTAATCCAGAAATCCTAGGGATTCGATGACAATGAAATTTGAAGAAAAGTGTGGGGACAATGGGAGCATTGTAGGAAGGAATCAGTCATACCCGGGTGAGAAGCATCAGCCAAAAGGAAAACCCATAGCAAATGGGGAAGCTGAGGTCTATGCAAAGCAGGAGGCAAATGGGAAATGCAGCACGCCCAGGAAAAGCCTCAGCATGTACACCTGGCTGGAGATCCAGAGGCATAATCACGAGGCCGACCAGTGACTGGTCATCAATTGCAAGGTTTACAATGTCTCCAGCTGGGCCGACAGGCATCCGGGTGGGCACCAGGTCCTCAACCACTGTGCTGGGGAAGATGCCATGGTAAGAAACTCCAAGCTTTCCCCCCAACCCTCTCCGTCTTTCCCCCAGCTGCTGGGTGGCTGAGATCTTGGCTCTCCTCCCAAAAGCATTCCACAATCACTCATCTCCTCACAAACCAATTTTTCAGGATTCCTCTCTAGCAAAATTTTAGTAGTAAATTAAGCCTCAAGGTCTAGCTATGAGCTGCACCTGGTTTGGGATGAGTTCAGATGCTGCCAGTGAATACTATGTTTGCATATTCTGAGTTTTGTTTTGTTCTTGGTGGTTTGTTTTGCTTCGTTTTGAAGCTGAGTCACTGTCTTATAAGAAGAAAATGATAAATGTGTGAGTAAAATCTGGGAAAAAAAAGAACATCTGAACCTAAATAGAAATTTATAAGACTCTTACAAAGTTGACATTCAAAGATGTAAATAACATGTCTCACAGCCAGCAAGTAATGGTGCCAAATTTTGAAATCAGGTCGGTTTGATCCTAAAGCCTTAAATATCTGGATTGTAAAAAATAAAATAAAATTTCTACTTAATATTTGATAAAAATGTGTCTCAAAATCTTAAATGCCTTAAGGAATCTCTTTTAAAATATTCCATAAAGAAGTCAGTTTTCTCTCAATTGGGACTTTTATTTCCCACATTGTACAGACGAAGAAACAGAATTAGAGGAACTAAACAACTAACTCAAGATCAGAAATTAATATATGACAGAATAGAAATTTAAATGCAGGCTTTTAAAAAGTATGTGGCTCCTGTTGGTTTTACAGTTTAGCATATAACTTCTTTAACTGGTTTTAAAGATCGGATTGAAAACATTATTTTGCTAAGTACCAGTCTATACATGGTACTGTACTAATAATAACAAAATTCACAAATACCTGCAAGATTTCATCTTTTGATGCCATCTGCATCTCTTTTCCTCAATTCTTACTTTTCCCCCAATTTCTCATCCCTCTTGTCTGTCTAGGTTCCTGTTCTTCCTATCTTGTTTCTACAGTCAGATGAATACCTTTCTGAGTATGCCCTGCTACAGCCCCACCACTTCTCTCAGATATATTTCTTAAACAAAGTTCAAACTTTCCTTGGAAAATAAGCATAAGCTTGTACACAGTGCCCAGAAATCAGAGAGCAGAGGGTAGAAGAAGCAAGAAGAGCATTTGTGTAAGAACAACAGGAGACAAAAAAAAAAACAAGAAGAAAATGTAAAACATACTACAGATGCCTATCTATCCCATCCCCTCATTTCTACAACTCAGAGAAAATACAGATGAGGCTTTGCTAACACAAGTCACAGAATTAGCTCAGAGGATGTGTTCGCAAAGATGTGAGCCTTCAACCACCTTAAAAATAACTGATAGCCTCACTCAGTTTGAGGCAGCCCAGATAGATGATAAAGTTTTAATTTGCTAATGATTTTTATCTCCTAGAAGTCAGGAAAAGACCCTGAGTTTGTGTCCAATTATAGCCAACAAGGAGGAATTGATTAATATAATAGAAACCATCAGAATCTTGTGGGAAAATACCCATGCCACCTTAGGATTTACCTATGTCTAGGAAGAAAATCATAAATTGGTCAGTAACGTATCTTAGACTTTAGGAAAATAGATAAAAAATGTCCAGAGGAAAGATTCTCCTAGAGAAAATGGCTTAAGAAGGAACAGGGAGTGCTAGAACAATCCACAGTACTCCATGACTCAGAGTACAGGGAGCCTGAGCTTTGGAATAGGTTATGTGAACCTAGGAATGTTATTGGGATGTTCTGAGCCTCAGCTTCCCCAACTGCAAAATGAGGCTGACATTACCCACCTGAGTGATTTATGGCAAATAGAACCAACGCATGTAAAGTGCTTGGCATTAGTGCCAGATACTTAGTAAAAGTTCATTCAGTCTTATCTATTATCAGTCTTATCACCAGCATCTTTATCCTCAGAAATATAATTATTATTTCTTGTTTGTTCACCACTAGCTTAGAAATCCTGTGTGATTGGGAACAGAGGGCTATATAATGAAGCATCATGCTTTCCAGTGAAGGAGGGAAGATCATAAAGTCAGGAGGCGTGAGATCAAATGCTCACCCTATAGCTTAAGAGACGTTTGCAGGTCGAGCCTCTGAGGGGCAAGTGTGAGCCAAAGTATTCTCACTGTGTGTCAGCCCCAGGCCCATGGCTGCACCTGCCCAGAGAAAGCACCCTTTTCTTATATACATCGTAATCTTCTGTAGGTCTCCATCATCCTCATAAAAGGTGAATGATGGTATCTACGTAATCTATCCCAAAGGGTCATTAATTCATACATTCATGCAGTCAGTTATTCCAAAACTCTTGTTAGGGTTCCAGCCTCATGGGAATGAAACAGGTCTGCTTTGCATCTGGGCTCCACATTTACTAGGAATGTCCTGAGGTTCTTGAAGCCTCAGCTCCCTTATCTAGAAAATGAGGATAATAATACCTTCACCTTAGCATTGCCGTAAAAGTCAGCAGAGATCAAATGAAGTGCTCACTGTGGTGCTTGGTACAAATTAGATACTCAAAACATAGCAGCTCTTGTATTTTATTATTACTTCAGTCTTCTGAGATGGGTTTCCATTTTCTCCAAGGAACTTTACTAAGAAAAATAAATCTATAAAACAAAATTGGTATATAAGTTCCTGTTATTGCACATATGATTTATCTGGTATTTTCAAACAATATGGTTTAAAACTAATGTCACTATGCTAATAACTAGAGTTATGGCCACATTCTTTTTATCTGTAAGAGCTCACCTAGGAAAATCCAGAAACAACCTGTAAGTACAACAAGGAGGATTCATTCTATAGATTATAATTACAATACAATAAGCTATTTTGCAATCATTAAAATTAGGATTATAAAACATATTTTTCTTCTTAGAGAAGGGTCTCACTCTGCTGCCTAGGGTAGAGTGCAGTGGCATGATCATAGCCCACTACAGCCTCCAACTCTTGGGCTCAAGCGATCCTTCAGCCTCAGCCTTCCAAATAGCTGAGACCACAGGTGTATGCCATCGCAGCCAGATTTTTTAAATTTTTTGTAGAGATAGGGTATCACTATGTTGCCCAGGCTGGTTTCCTAATACCTGGCCTCAAACCATCCTCCTGCCTCAGCCTCCCAAAGTGCTGAGATTACAGGTATGAACCACTGCACCTGACCTACAAAACACTTTGATGACAGTAAATATATATGAACAAATAGCTGGCCACAAATTTTGTATAAAACAACAGTATGTTCTGAGCTCCACGAGAAACATAATTGCAATCTTATGATGCATTCAGAGAGGCAGCATAATCAGAACAAAGAAAGCAGTTTTATTATCTTGTGTGCTGTTTAGCACACTCCTTATTTCTGGACACAACACTCTAATAGAGAGACTAAGAAACTGAAGTTCTTTCTCATGAGAGTCAGAGTCCAACATGATGGGAAAGAATGACAAAATCTTATAGGAAATATGGCAGGATCCATTTCAGCTCTTTGGAGGACTGGTATGTGGAAGAAGAAGAGTTGTGTGCAGCACCAAAAGAGGGCATTCTGAATGGTTTCAGATGAGCAGAGCCAGCAGAGGCAAGGCTGGGGCAGGGGAAAGGGAGGGTGTATACAGAAATGGAGTATAAATATGATTCATGGCATAAGCACCCCACCAGAATGGGCATCTCAGCCTGGACACTTCCTTTACTTAGCACAATATTGGCCGAAACTACATGCTAACTAATGGTAGTGGTTATGACAGAGGAATTCACTGGCTAAGAGAAAAGGAGAAGACAGATAGAAGATGAAGAGAGAGAAGAGATAGAGGAAGAGAAAAGAGAAAGCAGAGGGAGAGAAAGGATCTTGTGTGCTGAGCTAAGGAGTTTGCATTTTATCCTTACTGCATTGCTGCCTCTCTTCCTACTATACATGAGAATGTGTCCCTAGCACAGCATCCCTCCCACCTTCATCCTCACAACACAATCACCTGGCATTTCTAAGCTGTTGGTAAAAGAAAAGTAATAATCAGTGATAATTACATCTTTCCTGCGTCATCAAAACTTTTAAAATTATCTGATTCTCGTGGAAATGATAGTTCTAGTTGTAAAATAGATGGAGGAGAGGAGAGAGAAAGAAGTTCAAGTGCTAAGAGATGAAAATGGGCCATGAGGAGACAGTGCCTTTCTGGAAGTTGAGTCTGGCAGTTAAGTGAAGGATGAAATCCAAAAGAGCCTCTCAAAATGAAGGAGGACCAGGGTGGAGTCCAGGGAACATGTTGAAGGCCCAAGCAAGGTGTTGGCTACAGGAATGGAGAAGAGGAGCTGGGTGGGAAGGATTTTTAGAAGACAGAATTTCTAATATTTGAAGAGTGACTTGATAAACTAGCAGGATTGAGGAGTCTAAGCTGACTTATAGATATCGGGCTTGGGCAACTGAGTGGTGATATCTATTACAAGGAAGCCCAGGAGAATGCACAGGTTTGAAAGGAAGTGGAAGGGGAGGGGAGAGTTGATTTCATTTGGGCTGGAGCTCAGCTGAAAGCATTATAGAAAAAAATCTCAATATAAGGAAGAGTTTTCAAGAAACAAAAGTGTTCAAACAATAGTATGAGTTGCAGTGGGAATATAACCCTCTGCTTATCCCTATGGGTGAAGAGGAATCTGGTGACTTTCTGTGATCATTCCCACTCCAAAGCAGCTGTCTCCCAGGACAAGGGCAAAGATGCTTTCTCCACACAAATTGGCCTGTTCAGAACTCACTGTCCATCTGAAATTTGTAGAGACTTGCTCTAGCCATTGCCTTAGGGCAGGTGAAATCTAAGAAGGAAACAGAAGAGGAATTACCCAAAGGTGTGGGAGCAGGAGTCTTCATCTGTGGCTAGATATAGAAGAGTCTCGTGAGCTTTTTTTTTTTTTTTGCAGTGAGTACACCAAGGTCTATATTCTAGTTATCTTGTTTTATGGATAACTTGTTTTATGGATAACAACACTCTCTATGGATGGTTTCTAAATTTACGTTTGTTCCTTAGTAAACTTCTTTTGGGAAATTTCAACCCACCTCAAATGAACTAAGTGATAATCATATATAATCATGGCCACTTATTGATGTCTGACTCCAAAATCTAAGCTCTTAACCTCTAGGCTGGGTCCTCCATAGGTTTTAGAATGACTGAATAAATGAATGAAGGAATTAATGAGCTCATAGAGAGGATTAGGTAGTGTTATCTACATTTAGGAGAAATTAAGTAATTTCTGTGTGTGAAACAGCCTACTCCTCTGCTACCCTATACTATGCCTTAGTGTGAATTAGGAAAGGCACACTCTCTGGGTGATTGCAGCCCTATAGGCACAAGGTTTGGCAAATGGAGTGTCCACTGGAAGTCAGGCCACACTTGCCATCTTGGCCGAGTGCCTTTGTACAGGTCACAGCCTGTATACAACATTTAAGTTGTAAAAACAGAATTTTATCTCACACCCTCTGACTTTATATACTTTTCTCTTCCACTAGGGATCATACTGCTTTTACAGGAAAGCACATGACTCCATCTCCCACCAAATAACAGCAAAAAAATTAGCAGTTTATCCAAGGTATTTGTGAAAGCAAAGCAGTAATCACATCTTCTCCATGCTGTTACTATTTTGGAAATAATCAGTTACGAGATGAGCTACGGTATAAATTTATGAATAATTTAAATAGTAAAGATGATGATTGAGAAGGAAGCCAAAAGACTAACAGATGAAAATGTGAGATGCTGAAGTCACAAAAAGATCAGAAAATAGAGATGCCGTGGATAGGAAGAGACAGCAGCGCTTAACACCTGTATACTTAGAGTGCCACACTTTGATTATCCTAATACTTTGTTATAGAAATGCTATATCTGTTCATTCATTCACCCTTTCCCTTATTTGTCAGGTGTCTATTGATCACATGCTATACTTTAGGCACAGTGATTGACATTAGGTATACATTAACCAATAATAGTACATGGTCCCAGTCTTTAAAAAACTCACAAACCACTAAAAAAAAGGGTGATTACACAGATTCATTATAGTATAAGTATAGTATAGTATAGTATAGTATAGTATAGTATAGTATAGTATAGTATAGTATAGTATAGCATAGCATAGCATAGCATAGCATAGCATAGCATAGCATAGCATAGCATAGCATAGCATAGCATAGTATAAATTTGAAAAGCTCTAGGAACAAAGTGTCGTGTGAACCCAGGAGCAATCATGAATCATTTTCCTGAGTGATTGGGGGAAGCAGTATTTAACCTGGGCCTTGAAGGGTGAGAGGAGCTTTTAAAGAGAGAAAATGAAGGAGGTAGTCAAGGCCAAGAGAGCAGTAAGTGTAAAGCCTCAGAAATACAGAAGGCCACGGAATGCATACTGAATGGGGAGGCTCCAGTAGAGAAGATGAGGCATGAAGGGTATAGAGAAGGTGAGTCTAGGGAGGCAGGTTGGAGACAGAAGCAAATGTTTTACATGACTCAACCCTATGGTGGGGACACGCCATTACCATCTGCCAAGCAGATACATACTGATTTAGCATCATCCCCAATCTGTCATCACTCCTTTCTTGGGAGGACTTTAAGAACACAATCTATATGTGTTAAGGCTGGAATGGACCTTTAGGGCTTTAAGGCTTTAGAATTGCATAACCTTGAATTCAAACCCTGGCTCTGCTATTGAGTGTGGCATTTGGGGCAAGATACATCTCCCCTCTGAAACTTAGTGTCTTGATCTGTACAATGAAAGTGACAGAACCTCACAGAACTAAAATGGTGACTATGAGTTGGCCCATAGAATACCTTGTACACAGGACACACTTCATAAACACTGACACTACCCCTTCTACTCTTCATTTTATCCCCTCTCCGTCTTTCAGCAGAAACACATTTGGCCCAAGAATGTTGGTAACAGGACTTGCATTATTGCAGTCTTTTCACGAAGAGAATTTCACAACTTAGTATCTAGATTCTGTTTGAAGATTCTTTCAAATAGAATATTCTACCTAAACTCCTTCCTTGTGCTGCCCCAATGATGCAGGAAAGAGTTCCACAGAGCAGGCCAGTGTCTACTGTTCTGAAAATCTCTGCGGCATCCCCGTATGTGTTGTTACAGTTTTAACCTACGAACCTTCCTGGGGATTTGAAGAAACAATGAACCCAGAAGAATATTATTGTCAGTACACTGTTCCAGGACTCTAGATAGCTGCTCAGAGTACAGCGAAATTGCAATTGATTACATTCTATACTTTGATCTTGATCCATCAGGATGTCTTCCAACCTAATCTGCTCTGAAACAACAAGCAGCACATGATTTTTCAGTACGGGTCACAATGAGATATTTTAATCACCCTCTTCATCACTGAATCACTCTTCCTGGTTAGGGGACCTAAACTTTAGTATCATAAATGTGAAAAATTTAAACACCTTTGAAATTATTTAGTCCAGCATTTCCCAAGGGACTCAGGGGGCATGTAGAGAAGCAGAATGGACACTGGTGGCATTTTCTGTACAAAAGAAGCAATGGCACTTCACTGCCTGGACTGATTCTAACAGATAAAGGCCCATTTTACGTCATTGCATCTGGAGACCCATAGGTGAAATGAGTCTAAAGAGTTGATATTGTATCCTTCTAATTAACCTTGTTCATTATAAAAATACCTTCTTACTTCTATAAGTAAGCATTATTATAATACTACAATAATAAGTAGGCTCATATGTAATTCTTGGATATATCTAAAGTTGATTTACTATTTGAAGATGTAGCACTCATTATATTCATTAATATAATTCAGAGCTCACTCCACGTTAGGCATTGAGGTAAAGGGAGGAAATCTCTGAATATTGAAGAGAAGGTAGGTAGTGGGTTCTTATCAGTGGAGGTATACACATATGAAATATATCTGATGTGTTTAAAACATAGTAAATGCCACTTGGCATTATTATTAATTTACTTAACCCTCATAATAACTTCATGAATTGAGCGGGTATTATCATCACCCCCATTTAGGAAAAATAATATAGAAGCGTCACAGGCAATTCAAGAGACTTGCCTACAATTACTTAGCTAGTAAGTAGCAATGCTAGAATTTGCATGTAGGAAAGCTGGCTCCAGCGTCCACTTTCGTAATCAGTATAACGCAACACCACCACTGCAGAGTAATTTGTATGGCTTCCATATATACAGTTTACAACTTTGGTAATATTTCTTCATTTTTAATTACTCCCTTCCCCAAACCATAATAGCAACAAGTCTAGCATCTCCCTCTTGGAAAATCTTTCTTCTTTCCAGAAACAATTTAAATCCCTGGAAGAGAAGACTCTCTTTCTTCCAAACATAAACAGGATATAGGAACCATCACTGCTTCTCATAGCCATACGGAATTGCTACTTAACATGCACCTGAGGTGGAAAAATATAGTTTGTCACCTCTATTCTGTTTCTGGCTGTCACCAAGTCTCTGCACAGGCCACCACAGCATTTTTTTAATAGAGAGTGAGGAGCCTCCTTCAGTGACAAGCTTAGCCAAAGGTGTACTATTTTAGACCACCCAGGGCTCTAGGGCTGTGCTCTTATAATCTCTCATGCCTTTGCCTTAAGGAATCATCAACTTTAACCTGTCCTTCTCTAGAATTAACTAATTCAAGGGGCCTTATTCCCCTGGGCTTTGGCCAAGAAACCAGAGAGAGCCCTCAATGGAAGATATAATTTGCATAGCCAAACTTGGTTGCCGCACTGTCTCAGATAGTGTGAGCAACTTTCACATTAAGACTGATGCTGGACTTTTATAAAGATTTATCCCAACCCATAAACTCAATTATTTCTTCTGGTGATAAATAAAATAGTGATCTCATCAATGCTCCAGGATCCCCTGACTGTGTTGGTCATACCTAGAGAAGCAGTACACGTAGTAGGTGGGTCTCCAGCAGGAAACTTTCACAGAGATGGTTTTCAGGGATAATTTTGATCAATCAACTGGAAACATTAACTTGGAGTTACAAGAAAATCCTCTGCAATGAGGTCTGTGCTGATTCCCAGACTGAGCACAGGACAAGATAAGAAAAGGAACGGATCTGTGGATAAGCATGTCTCTTCAAAGCCTCTGACAGGTATCTCTGATTTACAGGATGTCTTCAGGGCCATGCATCCAGAGCTTGACATTGTGCAGTTGTACCTGAAGCCACTGCTCATTGGAGAACTTGCCCCAGGAGAGCCCAGCCAGGAAAGACACAAAAATGTAAGTGAGATGTCAGGATCCAGGGGTGTAGAAGGATGGAGACGAGGCATATTTTAAAGCCAATTAACTGTTTTCTGTGAAGGGTGGGACCACAGTAGAGTCAATGGATGGAGTCCACGTATTTCAAAACAATGCCTTTTTCTTTAGATCATGGGAACTCTTAAATCTTAGTGAAGAAAAAGAATAAAATTCTTATCCCTTCATCAAACAGTAATTTCATGTCTCTAAGCACCTACCTCATGCCAGGGAACTTACGGATATAATTTCCTTTTCATTGACTGCTTTTAATTATGTTTTATATCTATGTCTATGTTCCCAGCCCAAATATGTTGCATGAGAGGCGAGACTATGTCCACTTTTCTTATCCCTGTGTCCTGAAGACCTCCTTTCACAGGATCAACATGTAGTAGGAACTCCAAAAACAGCTACTGATTGAAAGATGTCACCGTATCCTAACTACAGCCTTTTTACATTTGGGGAAATTATCATTCAGGGAAAACAAATTACTCTCTAAAAGTCTGACAGCTGGTGTATCAAAGAGCTGAGACTCCAAATCACTTCTCTCTGGCTCCAATCCCTTAGGTATTCCCAAGGAAAAATGCCATTCTTTCTTTAATATTTTGGCTACATGAATACTGTCTTCTAAAGGACAGAGTCTCCATAGGACTAAAAATTCACTGGGATGGTTTTACATAACGCCGAGAGGAATTTTACTTAATATTGAGTAATTTCATTTTTCAAAATTTATTTTTTGTAACAGCTTACATTTGCCTGACTCTTGAAATAATTTTTATAACGTGTGGATCCATAGACCCCTGTGAAGCAGAGGGAGCAAGGATTTTATTCTCTCTTAAAAAAATGAAGAAACAGACTCACAAAGGGAGCAGGACTAATCTGAGGACACAGAACTGGTTATGGGCAAATCTGAGACTAATAGGTAAGCTCCATCTTTAGGCCCATGTTCATCCCACAGCACAGCTCTGTTCCAAAGAGTGGGATGGTAGGATGGACAGCCTGCACTCTCACCCCAACCTTGCCATTCTCAAATTGTGTGAGTCTAGGCCAGTTCCCAAACCTCTTTTGGCTCAGTTTCTCCCCCATAAGATACTGAAAACAATGGTACCAACCTTATGAGAGTTATTGGGAAAACAATTGAAAGAAGTAAAGTCATCATTTAAAGTGCTTAGAACAATGCCTGGAACACAGTAAATGCTCAATACATTTTACTTATTATCATAATCACGAACTGATGATGGTACTAGTAATTTTAAAACTTTCAGATATGTCCCCATCATTTGGGTCAGGTAGCTCTAGGTTAAAAAGTGAAGGTGATGCAAAATTTTATTGTTTTTCCTAAATTTTTCCTGTAAGAAAAATAAAATCCCACTAACGACTGAGACCTATCAGATAATCATTATCTAAAAGAGTGTTGGTCTCTGGAGATAAAGGTCTACCATAAATTTTCTTTAATACATTTATATGGATATTCAAGTTGCTGTATATAGAAAATTAGTATTTGAGCATAAAATTGGATGTCAGGTGTGGGTTTGAGTTCACCACCTGTCACTGACTTGTTGACAACTTCAAGCCAGTCACTCTTCTGGGTTTTGCTGACCTCCCTCAACTCTGCAATAAATGTTTTGCAAAAGATGACCAGGCTGGAGGCACCCTAGAGATAGCAAATTAATATTAGATAATTATTAAAATAACCTGTGGCCACAAGAATTCTAAGATTGATGGGGTTTGGGAGATGAGCCTATCCAGAACTTTTGCCAGGCAATGGGTCCTTTAAAAGTTGTATCTGTGAATTTTGAAATTTTTGGCTTCTGGAATTATTTTCATAGCTCTTTCTTTTTTTTGTTTCTAACATTTCTCCTTTCTTACATCTGTACAACCCTGTTATAGTTCTCATAACCTGGTCACTTTCCCAGCTGTCCTAGTTTCAAACCCATAATAGTCAATAAGCCAAGAGATATTTCTTTCCAACCTTGTGAGCTCCCCAGTATGATGTGGCAAGCTTGTAAACCAATGCTAATGCTGAACATGAACACTCACACATGCACATACACACAGGGCCCTTAAACGAGACCTTTCCAACTGAGTACACACACGCTAATAAGCCCTGCCTTGTTTTGGGGGATCCACTAAGCAGCTCTCAGAAAATTCATCCTGAGAGCTAATCTAAGTGAACTATATTGTTCTACAATCTCCATCTTCCATGAAATAACCCTTTCTACACATTAAGCAACTGATGGCCTGGAAAGCACTTTGTAAACTATACCAGTAACTGGTAACACAGATCCATATAGATGACCAAGTTCCCCCAAACAAAACCAGAGCTCACTCAACACCTGAAATAATTCTGGTGGTTTACAAGGCAACAGTTAGGCACATGTATCTCTCCACTGCCCTCTCCTCTCCTTCCCCATCCCCTGAAAAAAATCTAATTCTGAATTCCATAACAGCTTTAGGACAGTTTACAAGTCACTATTCATCTTTCACTTCTGCAGAAAACAACAAAAAAATTTCATAAACTTTTTAAAGGTTTTATTTGCTGGTTCATTGTTTTGGGGTTTTAATTCTGGACAATTAAATGTATTAATAAAATTCTATTAATAAAAGAGATGTATACAAAATTAATAAAATAAATTATTAATTATGTTCATCTGTATTCCCTTTCCCCTGAAAGAGCTAATTTACTCTTTGAATATTTATTTCATAGTCCCAGTTGGTAAAAGATTTCCAAGAATTGTGGAGCATCGCAGAGGCTATGAACATGTTCCATGCCAACCTGGGGTTCTTCTTTCTTCACTTTGTGCAGATCTTAATTTTGGAAGTGCTGGCGTGGCTAATAGTGTATCATTTTGGCAGTGGCTGGCCTGTTACTATGTTCATTTCCTTTCTTCTCACAATTTCTCAGGCAAGCAGGTATACTAAGCCCAGGCAGCGTCCTCATAGAAAGGCTCAGAATTTCTTCTTCTCTCTTTAGATTGGTGTCAGCTGCTGCCTGACACTTCTTGGCAAGGTACTCATCAATGTCAGGCACTTACCAGCAAGTGACCAAGCTTCATTGGGCTTTGGTTCTCTCCTCTCTAAAGTGAGGATAATAATGAATGTGGAATTATTCTGAGAAGGACTAATCAGGCAAATGTGTAAAATATAAAGCACAGTGTCTGGCCTATGGCAAATGTTTAATTAGTGACAATTGCTGCTGTTTGCCCTGTTTTATGCCCACCATCTCAGTGATTGAAGTTCTGTCCTTAGCCATGCCACACACATATTTATCTTTCATTCTTTAATCAATCAACATTTATCAATGCATCAGACCATGAATTCTTCAAGGGCAGATGTGATATCCTATGTGAGAATCAGAACGTGTGAGTTCCTCCATAAATGACAAATAGCAACTGACACTTAGCAGGGCATTTGATAAATCTTTGTTGAATGAAGTATGAATCTCTGAACATAGCCTTCTATGAGCGTGATACCATGTTGTCGATACAAAGGAAAAGTCAACATGCTCCCTGCTCCTGAGAAAGAAGTCGTGTAGTGGAGGAAATAGTCCTTCACAAACAGCTTAACACACTGCCTGGCACAAATCAATGATATTAATCCCAAGAAGAGGAACAAGCATTACTGTCGGAGCAGAAAGGAGCATTTAATTCTCATTAGAATCATTGGAAAAGGTTTTGTAGAGAATTAACTGCAATGTGTTTCGAGGTTCCAGAATTCTGGATGCTGATTCTTTTTCTTAAATCCTCTTGTTTAATTTCTTGAAAAGTGACTTTTGGAAGCAAGAAAGGAAACAAATATTTGTTTAGTGCTTAGCATACGCTGGGCACTTTACATATAGGTATGTAGTACAATAACCCCGTGAGTTAGGTATTAGTGTCCCCTTCTATCAGATGAAGAACTGAAGGTGAGAGCTATCGAGTAACTTGCCCAGAGTCGTGAAGCTCGTTAGTGGTGAAGAACAGTTTAGAATTCAAATCTGTCTGACACCAAAGACCATGGTCTTTGCACTCCATACTGGAAACCTTTGAAAGTGACAAGGAGAGCATTCCAGGCTGATACAACAAAGGCATAAATGTTGGAAAGAACAGGCAGGATATGTATGGGAAATAGAAACTAATTTTGGCTGGAGGTCGAACAAGATCACCCACTTTTCCCAAATAAGGTTGTGAATCTACTATGGGACTTGTTGATTGATTTCTTGTTAGGGTCCCAATTTCTCTAACAGTAACTTCCTCTCTCCTAGGCTCAGAGCTCATTTTTGCAGCATGACGCGGGGCACCTTTCCATATTTAGGAAGTCCAAGTGGAACCACGTGGTGCATAAATTTGTGATGTGCCATCTCAAGGTATGGGACGTCAGGGAGCATGAGGGGGATTCCTGAACATGAGTCCCTAAGGAGTGGTTCCCATATTTGTACATTGATATCAGTAAAAAATATTTATGATACCCCACAAATAAATATAAGTGTACTAACAAGGTAGATAATATGTACTAATATATAATACAACACTATAAAATATGTGCTGAAATGAGAATTTTAAATTAAATTTTTTGTGAGGATTTATTTAGTTCTATTTAAGAAGCTCTTATATTTTGTATTACCCTGGTAGACTCTTTGGCTAAATCCCTGGCACCCCCCTGCCCTAAGGGACCACCTCACAGAAGAAAGTGTGTGCCTTGAAAAATGAAGATGTGCATTGTGAAATCATAAGTGGGAATATTCTTAGAAGGGATTTTGGGCAAGGAGGAGGCAGCTATGAAGAAATAAAGGAAAAGATGCAAAACAGATACTAGTGAACAGAAAGACTAGTCAGGAAAAGCCAGATGGCTCTGTTCAAGAGTGCAGGATTGCAAAATCCAGACTGCTGGAAAAAGCAGGTAGTGATATGACAGCTGGTCTTATCCCCTCTTACTTGGGCTCCAGGAAGCAGGTACACTGTCCTATGCACCACTGCAGTGCAGCACCTAGGAGAGTGCTTGGTGCATGGCGGCGGGGGGGAGCCTTCAATAAGCTTTTGTTGAAGGAAGGAATGAAAGAAAGAAAGAAAGAAAGAGTGAATGAATGAACCAGTTAACAGTGCAGGACTTCCAAGCATGGCTTCCAGGCCTGGCTCTGACAGTGCTCATTGTGAGATCTTTAGTAAATCACATTCTATCCCTGGTCCTCAGTGTTCCCATCAGTAGTACTAGGAGTTAAACTAGATCTCTACTTTTCTAGAACTTTCTAGGGTTTGGTGACTATGTACTCTGGCCTAGAAGGGAAGCAAATGTCTCTGAGCCTTCCACTAAACCAAATCCTTGCATTCAAACCGGGATCCCTTAGGAAAAACCTATGGGCACTGACTCAGAGCCTATTAGTTCTTCCCTAACACAGTGATTTTATACATATATCTCATTCTGGTTATCTGCTTCCCCAGCCCGTAGTGGCTTGGAAGTAGCCAACTAATAAAAGCATGAAGACAATGCTGGAGCCAGGCCCACAGAGAGTAGTGAGCAGTAACTACTTACAGCAAACAATAAGGAAACACAGATGGGGACTCACATTGTGTGAGCCTGACAAGTGCCAGGTTCGGAATTTGCCCCGTTAGGCTATTTTCTCAAGTAATTCTAATGATGTGAGGATATAGCACTCCTAGTTTTCAGTTGAAATTCATGTTCAGAGGGGTTAAGCATTTAAGCCAATGGACATAAACTGGTCAGTGGAGAATTCATAGCATAGCACTAAATAATGCAGGCACTAGAGCAGAGCTGCTCAATGCTGGCTATCATTTGAAGCCACCTAAAGAAGTTATTTTTTAAAGTCCTAATGCCTAAGTACCATCTCTAGATATTCTAAATTCATCCCCAGTAGAGTCTAGACATCAGTATTTTTGGAAAGTTCCCCAGGTGATTCTAACCTACAAAAATGAACCTGCCTTCTGTGAGAATTCAGGCACTCATGAGCTGAGTCACTTTGAACAAATTACTTAATGATTTTGAACCACAGTTTCTTCAACTGTAAAATGATGATAGATGATGGCTTCAACCTGATAAGGATGTTGTTAGGATTATACGCAATACTCATGTGTCATGCTCAACAAAGTGTCTGGCATACAGGAAATGCTTAATAATTGTTAATTGTTATTAATACTAGAAACAGTCTTTCCATAATCAAAATGAAGACTCAGAATCAATAAGAAAAATATTTAATCGTTGAAGTATTAAGAAGATGGAAATAAATCACATCATCACTAAGTTGCAAGGTACCTGGAATCATCTACTTTTATCTACCCTCTCTCCCATTGAGCAGTTTGAGCCTTAAGTCAATCAGATAACACAGAGTTGGATTTTGATTCATATTGGAGATGTGTCCCCCAAAATAGTTAGAATGAATAATAAGTTGTTATTTCATGTGATAGGTCACATTTGACCAGAAAATTCCTGTGGGCATTCTATTCCACCCTCTCTTCACCAGTGTAAGATAGATTAGTCTGTTTCTGGATTCACTCAGAGATACTTAGCACAGAATAAAAGCAGAGGCAGTTTCTTCTGCTATTGTGAGTTTCAGGTAATAGACCATCCCATTTTTCCTCCTCTGTTCTGAGGAGTCAGAGGAAAGGTAAGACTCATCTGCCCTGGAGGTAGCTGGCAGTTGATTCAGTGCCAGTATGTGAAATATTTCAGATCAGCCCCACCCATGCTGGCACTTTAAAAAAAAAATCACTGCTTTCCCATTGATCCTGATTTGTACACAGCTATTTCTATGTAAGTTGTGTCTCCAGAAACAATTTTGCACTAGTCGAAATGAATATAACCTTGATGACTTGTGAACTGAGTAAGAACATGGGCAATGGCTCTAAAAGCAAATCAAGTGTACTCTGCCTTTTTTTGCAGACAAAAACAGTGACTCATGAGCAAAATGAACATTGGCTTCAACTATGTGCAGGAGAGAAAACTACCTGTGGAAAGGGAAGGTGGGCGGGGAGGATGTGACAAAGAAAATTACAATATAAACAGCAACATCCCCGCCTTAGACATGCATCACAATTTTAAAGTTTAAAATTTAACTTCATGTCAATTACCTCCCCCCACCACCGCCTGGAAAAGACACCAATATGGAGATTCTTTAGAATTTTCATTCACCAACTGTGCAAAAATGTATATGTTCTGGTCTTTCCAGTGTTTGTACAATAAAAGAGCACTTCCCAAAATAAACCATGAAATGTTTGCATACATTTTGGACTACTGTGCAATACTAAAAACAAAGTGGACTCCTTGTAGCATATTTTTCATATTCATCAGTATGTGCATATAAAAAAACTAAGAGTCAAGTCTCATTATAGGGATAGTGGGACAGAACATTTGAAATTAAGATCTTCCTAGAAAATCTGGCCTATACTGATTCCATGATGACATCCTAAAACATTTTATTTTGGTAAGGAAAAGGAAAGTGTCAAGCATGTTATTTTCTGCAATCCTCTAAGAAGCCTCATCCATTTTACAGATGAGGAAATTGCTCAAGGTCACATACCTAAATAGATGGCCAAGCAGGGATTAAATTCAGGTTGGTTTCATTCCAAAGCCTGGGTTCATTCTTTTTTTTTTTTAATACCCTAAGTTCTAGGGTACATGTGCACAATGTGCATGTTTGAAACATAGATATACATGTGCCATGATGGTTTGCTGCAACCATCAACTCATCATTTACATTAGGTATTTCTCCTAATGCTATTCCTCCCCCAGCCCCGCACCCCCCAACAGGCCCCAATGTGTGATGTTCCCCGCCCTTTCTCTACCGCACTGAGAATAGACCTAATGTGGAAATGAGGAATGACAGGGTTGTTCCTGCCTAGAATTTGGCGAAGGGGCAGCCTATTTGGCATGCCGCTGATAATCCTCTCTTGCCTGTGGAGTACTTTCTTTCCCTTGTCTCTGGATATAGTGGCTTCCAGAAAGAAGGGCCAAGGGAAGACATTTATTTGGATCACACCCATAATTACTCTGACCATTATTCTAAGCTTTACCTGTTAAGATCTGCTTCCCGTCATATCATGGATCCAAACCGGACTCCCACATTACTACTCACCACAGATAATCATTGGCTAAAAGAGTACAGTCAGCTGGCGGAAGAATCCAAACATTGGTTCTCAGGTGACTTAATTGAAAAGGAGATTCTCTCCTTATCATATTGTCCTTGTTCAGTTGTCTACTGCTCCCATTAGATTATATGTTTCCTAAGTGTGGAAACCCCATTTTATCATGTTTATCTTTATGTTCCAAATGCCTAGCTCAGTAAGTATCTGACACCTAGGACATAATTCAAAATAAATAATGAATGTGTGAATAAATACACAATTGTAAGATTAAGTAGGTCATATGCAATTTAAAAAATCTTTTATCATTTTATTTTATTTTTATTTATAATCGACACATAGTAATTGTATGTATTTATGAGCTACACTATGATGTTTCAATACATATGTACGTTGTGTAATGATCAAGTCAAGGTTATTAGGATCTTCATCACTTTAAACATTTATCGTTTCTTTGTTGTAACATTCAATATCCTCTCTTCTAGCTATCTTGAAATATATAATACCTGATTGTTAGCTACAGTCACCCTACTGCAGTGGTCCTCAATCTTTCTGGCACCAGGGACTGGTTTCATGGAAGACAATTTTCCCATGGACCAGTGGGTGGGGTGTGGTTTCAGGAGATTCAAGCACATTACATTTATTGTGCACTTTATTTCTATTATTATTACACTGTAATAATGAAATAATTATACAATTTACAATAATGTAGAATCAGTGGGAGCTCTGAGCTTGTTTTCCTGCAACTACTGGGTCCCATCTGGGGTGATGGGAGACAGTGACAGATCATCAGGCATTAGATTCTCATAAGGAGCATGTAACCTAGATCCCTCACATGTGCAGTTTACAATAGGATTTGTGCTCCTATGAGAATCTAATGCTGCAGCTGATCTCACAGGAGGCAGAGCTCAGGCTGTAATGAGAATGATGGGGAGTAGCTGTAAACATAGATGAAGCTTCCCTTGCTCGCCTGCCACTCACCTTCTGCTATGCAGCCCAGTTCCTAACAGACCACAGACTGGCACTGATTCGTGGCCCGGGGGCTGGGGACCCTTGCCCTATGTGTAATAGAACACCAAACTCATTTTTCCGGTCTAGCTGTAACTTTGTACCCATCATATGCAATTTGATGGAAGAAACACAGAGCACTGATGGGGCCCTTGAAGGGGGGACAGAAATTGTTAAGTATAGTTTGTGACATGTAGAGGCTTGAGTATCATGAAATATCCAAATACACACACACACACACACACACACACACACATACACATATATATATCACATATATATCACATATATATCATATATATCACATATATATCATATATATATGATATTTCATGATACTCAAGCTCAATGTGTCACAAACTACACTTAACAATTTCTGTCCCCCCATTCTGGGTGGGGGGTAGAGAGAGAGAGAGAGATCTAAATATATATATATTTGGAAAGTCCCCATTCAGGCATAAGATTCAGGATAGAGAGTCAGGCTGGAGGATTGCAAGGTTAGGGAGTGTTAACTGGGGATGCGATGGGGGTTGCTAAGAAACAACTGCAAAGAAGACTATGGAAAGACAATGCTAATGCTTACAGGTTTTCAAATAAAGAGCCATCCCCTTCTACTATAGATGTATGATATCCAGACCAGCATTCTCCAACAGAAATATAATGCACCATATTAAAATGACATATGCATTTTAAATTTTTCAATAGTCATATTTAAAAGGTAAGTTTATTACTCCATATATATTCAAAACAGTATTATTTCAACATGTAATCAATGTAAAAGTTATTGATGAAATATTTTACATTCCTTTTTTCATACTGAATCTTCAAAATCCAGTAGGTATTTTATACTTACAGCTTGTCTTTATTCGGTCGCTTTTCAAGTGCTCAATAGCCACATGTGTTAATGGCTATTGCATTGGACAGAGCAGACTAGAACATGTATAGACTGCTTGCTAAGCTATGTGAAATATGCAATAAAAACTACTACTGCTGCTCATTCTTCTGTAAATGATTAACATAAAGGAGGAAAAACTGAATATGCCAACATTTTACATACGTCATCTCATAACTCCCCAGACCACCCACGGAGGTAAATGTCCTTATGTTATTTACCGGAGATAGAACTGAGCCTCAAAGAGGTTGGGTGATTTGCCGAAACGATGCAGCAGTATTTATACATCCAGCATAGGTAACTAGGTTGATATGCCTCCAAATTCTTTGCTCTATTAAAATTTCAGACTTTCTATGATTAAAAAAGAAAAAAAAACACAAAAACCTAATCAGAGGTGACTCAAGATTGGCATGTGCTAAAATCTTTTTATTCTCATTTATTTTTGTATGACAGCATTGAAGCCGGGACATGCAAGGATCTGAGCCAAGACCCCCAGGGAGATCACTTCAGATCCATGATTCTTTGAAACACTCATTGAAGTAAGATACCTGGGGCCGCATCTTTTTCCCCAGAACTAATTAAAGTCTCGGAGCTAAGTCTTCTTTATATGTAAAATAGAAAAAATACTCTCTGCCCCAGCTACCTTCAGATTTATTTTAATGAAGATCAGATAAGACAAGGATGGGAAAACATTTCTTTTCAACCAGCTTTTACGATTTTCCTTACCAAGACTTTTAGCCTAAAGTTGTGTTTCTGGATCAGAGAATTATTTCTTTGTAAGCTATGAGCGCCTCTGTCCGATGAGTCATGCTGTGGCTCAGCAGTGGAGGCAAGCTAGAGAAACTCAAATATCTTATTTTGACTTTGGGGATGCATGCAGAAAACTCTGACAGTGAAGGGTATTTCAGGAAAGAATTATTTCAAATAACGAGCCCGCTCTTCTCCTCAGGGCCTGTCAGCAGACCGGTGGAATTACTGGCACTTTGAACAACACGTAAAGCCGAACATCTACCCCAAAGACCCAGATATTGACACGGACCCACTTTTTCTCCTTGGAGATTCACAACCTGTCAAGGTACACTTAGAAATCTTGAGCACCGAGGAAATGTTCCTGGAAGTGGTTCGTGGAAAGGCTTACAGCCTTGCCTTGGAAAGATCAAGCTGGAAATTCTGGCTTCACACACAATCTGAGAACATCTCTCCTTCTTTTAGGTTCAAAATACAGATTTGAAATAACTGAATCTGGGGCTGTAAGAATACAAGGCGATTTAGAGCCGTAACCATTAAGTCTATGACCTTACAGATCATCCAGTCCAACCTCCCACGGCAGGAAATATGGAAATCCACATTACTCTGAGCAATCCCAGTGACAGATGGGTCCCTGCCCAGTGCCTGTCATTTCCTCTGAGGCAATACAAGCCAATGTTAGATCGTGGAACCAGATGACTGAAGTTGCAATGACTGTCTGAGGTTTAAACAGGGCATGGAGAAACATTCACTGAGAGAATATAGGTCAATATATTCAATAAGCACTAGGTCACATACGTTCACATAGCTAGTTATCTCAACTAATTCTAGCCCAGTTAGAAAAGACTATGCTGTTATATTTAGTTCATGTTCATTTTGGTGCATTTACACATGAACTACAGCCCAAATGCCATGGAAGAGATCTACAGGTCTCACCTCTAATTTGAGCTTCTTAAACAACAGAAAAAAGGAGGGGGAAAACCATCTTCAGAATTTCTCAGTTAATTATTACTTTTTAAAACTCCAACTTATTTCTGAGGGCTCTGTTCTGTTCCATTGATCTATATCTCTGTTTTGGTACCAGTACCATGCTGTTTTGGTTACTGTAGCCTTGTAGTATAGTTTGAAGTCAGGTAGTGTGATGCCTCCAGCTTTGTTCTTTTGGCTTAGAATTGACTTGGCGATGCGGGCTCTTTTTTGGTTCCATATGAACTTTAAAGTAGTTTTTTCCAATTCTGTGAAGAAAGTCATTGGTAGCTTGATGGGGATGGCATTGAATCTGTAAATTACCTTGGGCAGTATGGCCATTTTCACGATATTGATTCTTCCTACCCATGAGCATGGAATGTTCTTCCATTTGTTTGTATCCTCTTATTTCTTTGAGCAGTGGTTTGTAGTTCTCCTTGAAGAGGTCCTTCACATCCCTTGTAAGTTGGATTCCTAGGTATTTTATTATCTTTGAAGCAATTGTGAATGGGAGTTCACTCATGATTTGGCTCTCTGTTTGTCTGTTGTTGGTGTATAAGAATGCTTGTGATTTTTGCACATTGATTTTGTATCCTGAGACTTTGCTGAAGTTGCTTATCAGCTTAAGGAGATTTTGGGCTGAGACAATGGGGTTTTCTAGATATACAATCATGTCGTCTGCAAACAGGGACAATTTGACTTCCTCTTTTCCTAATTGAATACCCTTTATTTCCTTCTCCTGCCTAATTGCCCTGTGCAGAACTTCCAACACTATGTTGAATAGGAGTGGTGACAGAGGGCATCCCTGTCTTGTGCCAGTTTTCAAAGGGAATGCTTCCAGTTTTTGCCCATTCAGTATGATATTGGCTGTGGGTTTGTCATAGATAGCTCTTATCATTTTGAAATACGTCCCATCAATACCTAATTTATTGAGAGTTTTTAGCATGAAGGGTTGTTGAATTTTGTCAAAGGCTTTTTCTGCATCTATTGAGATAATCATGAGCCCTCAGAAATAACACCGCATACCTACAACTATCTGATCTTTGACAAACCTGAGAAAAACAAGCAATGGGGAAAGGATTCCCTATTTAATAAATGGTGCAGGGAAAACTGGCTAGCCATATGTAGAAAGCTGAAACTGGATCCCTTCCTTACACCTTATACAAAAATCAATTCAAGATGGATTAAAGATTTAAACGTTAGACCTAAAACCATAAAAACCCTAGAAGAAAACCTAGGCATTACCATTCAGGACATAGGCATGGGCAAGGACTTCATGTCTAAAACACCAAAAGCAATGGCAACAAAAGACAAAATTGACAAATGGGATCTAATTAAAATAAAGAGCTTCTGCACAGCAAAAGAAACTACCATCAGAGTGAACAGGCAACCTACAAAATGGGAGAAAATTTTCGCAACCTACTCATCTGACAAAGGGCTAATATCCAGAATCTGCAATGAACTCAAACAAATTTACAAGAAAAAAACAAACAACCCCATCAAAAAGTGGGCGAAGGACATGAACAGACACTTCTCAAAAGAAGACATTTATGCAGCCAAAAAACACATGAAAAAATGCTCATCATCACTGGCCATCAGAGAAATGCAAATCAAAACCACTATGAGATACCATCTCACACCAGTTAGAATGGCAATCATTAAAAAGTCGGGAAACAACAGGTGCTGGAGAGGATGTGGAGAAATAGGAACACTTTTACACTGTTGGTGGGACTGTAAACTAGTTCAACCATTGTGGAAGTCGGTGTGGCGATTCCTCAGGGATCTAGAACTAGAAATACCATTTGACCCAGCCATCCCATTACTGGGTATATACCCAAAGGAATATAAATCATGCTGCTATAAAGACACATGCACACGTACGTTTATTGCAGCACTATTCACAACAGCAAAGACTTGGAACCAACCCAAATGTCCAACAATGATAGACTGGATTAAGAAAATGTGGCACATATACACCATGGAATACTATGCAGCCATAAAAAATGATGAGTTCACGTCCTTTGTAGGCACATGGATGAAATTGGAAATCATCATTCTCAGTAAACTATCGCAAGAACAAAAAACCAAACACCACATATTCTCACTCACAGGTGGGAATTGAACAATGAGATCACATGGACACAGGAAGGGGAATATCACACTCTGGGGACTGTGGTGGGGTGGGGGGAGGGATAGCATTGGGAGATATACCTAATGCTAGATGACGAGTTAGTGGGTGCAGCGCACCAGCACGGCACATGTATACATATGTAACTAACCTGCACAATGTGCACATGTACCCTAAAACTTAAAGTATAAAAAAAAAAATAAAAAAAAAAACTCCAACTTAAAACCATCATGTAAAGGACAATGTCAATTACCGAGATTTTTAGGAGGGAGTATTTCTTAAGCATAGGAGATATAAGGATAACCAAAGAAAAGTGCCTCCCCTCAAATGAAGTACCTGAGAGTCAGGTACTTGGGAAGAGTTTGCTATCTCCTAGAAAAACTAGGAGTTTTATAAAAATAAAACGATATAGCCTTCTCAGTTGTTGCCTGTCTGGTACATTAACCAAAAATTGTGCAACTTTTTGAAAGTAGTTTTTTTCATCTTTGGGAGACTCACCCTTTTCCCTAGCTGAAATAGAAAACAAGGTCTCTTGCTTTGAAAAAATTCTTGGTGCTGTGATCACAAATCAGTTGCTTTTGACAATGATTCCACAAACACATTGGACTTCCCTGATGTTTGTGGGTTTCTATGATCATCATTAGAATTCTGAAGTATTGATTTCTCCAATTGTCCCCTCATATCTCCCCTTCCCCCTAGAGAGCAAGGGAGTTTGTCTCAGGGAAGTTCATGAAGCAGCTTGAGTTCAGACATGCCTTCTATAGAGCTATTTTCAGCACACATGCTACCTCTTCACAAACAATAGAGGCTACCTCTCCAAGTTCTGAAGCTGCTCCTGGGACATCCCTAAAACCTTAGAGTTCTATATAACATAATTTCAAAGCCACTGCAGAAGACATTACTTACAATTATTTATTTAAACTCTAAAATTCAGTAGTTTCACATCAAAAACATTTCTAATCAGCCCTGGGCTTTTCCTTTCTTCCTTCTTTACTGTCTGCCTTTCTAATACTTTATTCAAATGTTAAGTTTCTTCAGCAAGCATTTATATTCTTCTATGTCCTGTGCTTATATCCTGGAAGACCGAATCCTCCTTTAAGGTGATACTCAAAATCTGTCCATTACTGTTTGTCCACTCCCACGCATTTCCAACTAGTCCCTTTACCATGTTTCCTGTTCCTAAAATATTTAAAGGTTTAGGAATAACTGCAAATAGCTATTATTACTTTATCACTATGATTTTTTTGTAATTTTTGACAATAAGAGAAGGAAGGACCAACTATACAATCCAAATACAAGAAGAAATCTATACATAGGAGGAAAGATATCAAAGGAAAGGAGAAAGCAAGAGTCAAACACTGCCCAGAGTTGTAACTGAAGGGCAAAAATACAGAGTGAGTATGAATTATCATTCATTCGTTAATTCCTTCAATAAACATTTATTGAGTGTCTGCCAGATACTAGAGATATAATCATTACTTCTATCCTCCTTTCAAAGCATTTGCTTTGTGCCCTGAATATATGCCAGATTAACTAAGGAGACTCCTAGAAAATGAATCACATTTTCAGTAGTGAATGTAATATTATAATTATATTATTATACTGTAATTATATAATGTATAATAGATATTATATGTGCTGTCATCATGTGCTAAAATAATAAATGATAGTGTGATTTCCATGATGAGAACACAAAGAAGAAAGATGAGACAGACAGGAGAGGCCACAACTATATCTTCTATCATATTACCATTTAGTATCTTTCGGATGAATGAATTTAAAAGAAAATTCTTGACTGTGATGAATGAATCATACATCTGTTGGATGAATGAATGAATATGGAGCAGAATCCTAAATGCCATAGTTGAAGAAGCACAAGAAAAACTCTGAAATGTCCCATTTCAGTGACCATTCCACCTCACATAAAAAGAAAAAAATTCAAAATGATTCCCATAAGAACAAAAAAATGATCACAATTCCTACAGTCAAATGGAATATTCCATTTGTGCCAGAATTACCCACATATAATTGAAGCAAAAAGTTGCCACAATATTTCCTCCCATCCTGGTTCTGGTTCTTCTAGTTCCTCAGACTTGAAAGCCGATGAACAGTGATCAGATGGCTCTTCCCATAAAGATTTTAGACATACACACATGCATGTGCACACACACACATACACACACACACATACACATGCATCCTCGAGTGTGATGACCAGAAGTATGGTCTCTTATTTTAGTTTTATTATCTCTCTATTCAGTACGGCAAGAAGAAAATCAAATACATCAACTATGAAGAGCAGCACCTGTACTTCTACAAAGGTGAGTCTCCCAGAGCCACATTCCTTGTATCCCATTTACTTGAAGCAAGTACTTGTCAAGGGAGAAGGCCGATTGGAATGCTCTCACAGAGACCAGCCCATGTCCTATTGCTACTGAGCAAAGCAGAATGTCTTATTTATACTCACTGGGGTGGAAATCGGCAAAGGGAAATGGAAAAGTAAACAGCCTTTTTAAAGGGCACCTCATCATTCTAAGAGTTGGATGGGGAAGGAAGGAGATACCCAACGAGGGAGGGAAGGCAGGCTGCCAGTCAAGGGGCCTGCATCTAGGACTGTCATTCTGGAAAGACCAAACATCTATCAAGAGAAAAGAATAATGGTGTTTGTGTAGGAAGGAAGTAGACATGGGGAAATAAATCTGAAGCATTTGCAGTGTGACACCGGAAATGGAGAGGCCGGGAAATAAAGGGCATCTGCAGTGCTCTTGTGTGGAAGAAAGCTGTCTGCTCCCATGACCTGCATACAGCTGTGGGAAGGCATGAGACATATATATCTGAGTGTGGGCATGTGGGTCAAGTGTGAAGGAAAATAAAGGTAGCTGAGTAAATCTGATACCAGTAAAAGAACATCATAAGCAAAGAGCCTTTGCTCTTAACCAATATCAAACTCATAGCAGCTCACAAAAAAAAGAAACCCCCAAATCTGCCCAACTAAAACATACATCTGGGGGTTAAACCAAAATCAGGGAAGGAACCAAACATTTCCTGTAATCCAGTTGTTCTCAACCCGAGCAATTTTGCCTCCCAGAGGCAGTCTAAAGACATTTTTTTGGTTATCGCAACAGAGGAAGAGGGAACGTATTGGCAGTCAGTGGATAGAAGCCAGGGATGCTGCTAAACATTCCGCGATGCAAAGGACAGCCCCTTATAAAAATAATCATCTCACCCAAATTGCCAGCAGTGCTGGGGTTGAGAAACACCGTTGCAGATGATCTGATTTGCCCACGTGTAGGCCACACACCTATCATGCCAGAGGAGGACAGCAGGGGGCAAATTTTTTGAAGTGTGAGATTGACCATCACTGCTGGCTCCTCCACAGTTGGAATTCAGCCTCCCCGATCCTGCACTCTCACCTGCCCCGCTTCTCTTGCATAACCTGAAAGAGGAATGAGGACATTGGTGCCCCATTTTTATTTATTTTTATTTATTTATTTTTTAATTATTATTATTATACTTGAAGTTTTAGGGTATATGTGCACAACGTGCAGGTTTGTTACATATGTATACATGTGCCATGTGCTGCACCCATTAACTCGTCATTTAGCATTAGGTATCTCTCCTAATGTTATCCCTCCCCCCTAACCCCACCCCACAACAGTCCCCGGTGTGTGATGTTCCTCTTCCTGCGTCCATGTGTTCTCATTGGCGCCCCATTTTTAAAAGGTAGCCGATTCCCAGCCTAAGTAGATGTGTGTTTGCATAAGAAAATGCTGTTGGACTTTCTTCTGTGAACTTTCCTGAGAAACATGTGTTTACCTCCCCTGTCTGTAGTGGGGCAATATGCCCTTCCCTTATGAGAAATGAGGGAATGGTGTGAATTCACTGCAAAATGCCCACCTCACAAACCACACTGCCACCACCAAGAGCTGTTTTATTGTGGCCTTTCCCGGCAAATGCTAGCTTAACATCTCGGGTGCAAATGAGTCATACTCAAACTGTCAAAAAGAAACAAAACCAGACATTTGTTAAAGGCAGCAAGACAAATTATATTCAGGCAATTGCACTAGGGGAGAGAGACTTCACCATAAACTGAGCTTAATTCTCCTGACGCAAAAGTGAGAGAGAGGCTTTTAAATGCTGGAACATACTAAAGGAAAAGTACTGAAAGACACTGGGAGATGGGGTAGGGGGTGGAGGAGTTGGTTGATAAGATTTGTCCAGGCTGTCTGTGTCTGCTAACTGGTACTTATCAAAGTTTGGCTCCTATCCTCCCAAATAGACTGACAGATAACAGCCCCAGCCTTCTTGATGGCTAGATTTCAAAGGGATTGTTACCAGGCCCCTGAGAAATACATTTCTGGAGTATAGAAGCTACATCTCAAAGGAAGACACAAAGGATTTACAATTGTCAGTGTCCTAAAGTAAATGCTCTAAGAAAAAGGGGTGTCAGGTGCCTATAGTCAGATACTGGCCAGAATAAACAGTAAATTATTTTGGCAGCATTGAGCTTTCTCAGGTAAAAACATCAAGGATGCTGGGATTACCCCAGAGAGATGGCCTTGAGCTTTGAGAAACTATGCTAGTGTTTGTTCAAGTTTCTTAGTTTGGAGAGTGGATGAAATCATTTGTGCTGAGAGTCTGCAATTCTCGTAGGCCAAGGTTGAGGCCTAGTCAAGAAGAGGGCTCAGAGGATCCTAACTAAAGTTCGACCAGGGAGACAGCCTTTGTCAAAAGCCAGGGGATGTCCTTAAGGATCCTCTGTGCCTGGGAAGCCTCAATGATGCTGGGAGAGAGGCAGGTAAATAACTCTGACCAGGAAATGAGTATACCTTCTTTATCACTGACACCTCAACACACTGTAATGGGGCTAAATCCCAAAGATCCAGGGAGACTGAAGGACTCCAAGTACCTTGAAAAAACTTGAAAGCTGATAGCAGAAGCTCTTCAGGGATGCTTTCATCAAAAATGACTCAAATCTCCCAAGCTTTCCTCGCTTCTTTGAGGCAGCTTGAACCTGGAGCTACTAACCAAATTCCTAGCCCAGCCTTTTAGACTTGAAATGCCCAGTGCAGTCCAGGATGAGGCTGTGGATCTCCACCTTGCATCTTTCCTTGGGGCCAGCATTCCAGGAACGCTGCATTAAGGAGATAGACTCCTGCTGACTTGCATTGGGGTCACATTTTTTAATTAAATATATTTACTGGATTTATTAAATAAATGTATTAAGTACATTATAAAAATACAACACAGTAATTACAAAACAGATGCTGGATCATCCTAATGCCAAAAACTGGCAGAGACACAACAAAAAAAGAAAATTTTAGGACAATATCCCTGATGAACATCAGTGCGAAAATCCGTAGTAAAATACTGGCAAACCAAATCCAGCAGCACATCCAAAAGCTTATCCACCAAGATCAAGTCGGGACTCAAGGCTGGTTCAACATATGCAAATAAATAAATGTAATCCACCACATAAACAGAACCAATGACAAAAACCACGATTGTCTCAATAGATGCAGAAAAGGCCTTTGATAAAATTCAACACCCCTTTATGCTAAAAACTCTCAATAATCTAGGTATTGATGGAAAGTATCTCAAAATAATAAGAGCTATTTATGACAAACCCACAGCCAATATCAATTTGAATGGGCAAAAGCTGGAAGTATTCCCGTTGAAAATTGGCACAAGACAACCTCTCTCACCACTCCTATTCAACATAGTATTGAAAGTTTCTGGCCAGGGCAATCAAGCGAAAGAAGGAATTCAAATTGGAAGAGAGGAAGTCAAAGTGTCTCTGTTTGAACATCACATGATTATATATTTAGAAAACCCCATCATCTCAGCCCAAAATCTCCTTAAGCTGATCAGCAACTTCAGCAGAGTCTCAGGATACAAAATCAACGTACAAAAACCACAAGCATTCCTATACACCAATAACAGACAAACAGAAAGCCAAATCATGAGTGAACTTCCATTCACAATTGCTACAAAGATAATAAAATACCTAGGAATACAACTTACAAGGAACGTGAAGGATCATTTCAAGGAGAACTACAAAGCACTGCTCAAGGAAATAAAAGAGGACACAAACAAGTGTAAAAATATACCATGCTCATGAATAGGAAGAATCAATATCATGAAAATGGCCATACTGCCCAAAGTAATTTACAGATTCAACAGTATCATCATCAAGCTACCATTGACTTTCTTCACAGAATTAGAAAAAACTACTGTAAATTTAAAAAAAGCCCATATAGCCAAGACAATCCTCAGCAAAAAGAACAAAACTGAAGGCATCACACTACCTGACTTCAAACTATACTACAAGTATACCAAACTATACTATGGTAACCAAAACAGCATGGTACTGGTATGAAAACAGAGATATAGACCAATGGGACAGAACCGAGGCCTCAGAAATAATGCCACACATCTACAACCTTCTGATATTTGACAAACCTGACAAAAACAAGCAATGGGGAAATGATTCCCTATTTAATAAATGGTGTTGGGAAAACTGGCTAGCCATATGCAGAAAACTGAAACTGGACCCCTTCCTTACACCTTATACAAACATTAACTCAAGATGGATTAAAGACTTAAATGTAAGACCTAAAACCATAAAAACCCTAGAAGAAAACCTAGGCAATACCATTCAGGACATACCTAGGCAATACCATTCAGGACATAGGCATGGGCAAGGACTTCATGTCGAAAACACCAAAAGCAATGGCAACAAAAGCCAAAATTGACAAATGGGATCTAATTAAACTAAAGGGCTTCTGTACAGCAAAAGAAACTATCATCAGAGTGAAGAGGCAACCTACAGAATGGGAGAAAAATTTTGTAATCTATCCATCTGACAAGGGGCTAATATCCAGAATCTACAAGGAACTTAAACAAATTTACAAGAAAAAAACAAACAACCCCACCAAAAATTGGGCAAATGATATGAACAGACACTTCTCAAAAGAAGACATTTATGTGGCCAACAAACATATGAAAAAAAAAGTTCAACATCACTGGTCATTAGAGAAATGCAAATCAAAACCACAATATGATACCATCTCATGCCGGTTAGAATGGCAATCATTAAAAAAGCAGGAAACAACAGATGCTGGAGAGGATGTGGAGAAATAGAAATGCTTTTATACTGTCGTTGGGAGTGTAAATTAGTTCAATCATTGTGGAAGACAGTGTGGTGATTCCTTAAGGATCTAGAACCAGAAATACCATTTGACCCAGCAATCCCATTACTGGGTATATACCCAAAGGATTATATATCATTCTACTGTAAAGACACATGCACACATATGTTTACTGCAACACTATTCACAATAGCAAAGACTTGGAACCAACCCAAAAGCCCATTAATGTTAGACTGGATAAAGAAAATGTGTCACATATTTACTGTGGAATACTATGCAGCCATAAAAAAGGATGAGTTCATGTCCTTTGCAGGGACATGGGTGAAGCTGAAAACCATCATTCTCAGCAAACTAACACAGGAACAGAAAACCAAATACTGCATGTTCTCACTCATAAGTGGGAGATGAGCAATGAGAACACATGGACACAGGAAGAGGAACATCACACACCAGGGGCTGTTTGTGGGTTGGGGGTTAGGGGAGGGATAACATTAGGAGAACAACCTAATGTAGATGATGGGTTGATGGGTGCAGCAAACAACCATGGCACGTGTATACCTATGTAACAAGCCTTCACGTTCTGTACATGTATCCCAGAACTTAAAGTATAATTTAAAAAAAAGATGCTGGAAAATATTTAGAGAAATGGGAAGATGGTCATGATATGTTTTCTTTTTAAAGATAGTGTAAAAAACAGTACTACAGGTAGCATAATACCAATTTTTAGAACATATATTAATATATCTATATTCAAAATATTTATGGTAGTATCTGGGTAGTAAGATTACTGGTGATTTTCCTTTTTTTTTTTTTACTTTTATTTTAGTTTCAAGGATACATGTGCAGGTTTGTTATACAGATAAATTGTGTGTCTCGGGAGGCATCACTACTCACAATAGCTAAGACATGGAATCAGCCTAAATGCATATCAGTGGTAGACTGCTTAGATAAAATGTGGTACGTATATACCATGGAATACTACACATCCATTCAAAAGAATAAGATAACGTCCTTTGAAGCAACATGGATGGAGATGGAGGCCATTATCCTAGGTGAACTAACGCAGGAACAGAAAACCAAACACTGCATGTTCTCACTTCTAAGTGGGAGCTAAACATTAAATACACATGAACACATTTTGTTTATTTATTCAGCATCATTTTTTGTTCTGTTTCAGTTTGGCTCCCACTCTTCATGCCAGTATATCTCAAACTGCCATCCATGCAAGCGATGTACCTCCAAAGATATTGGGTGGTGAGTAATGTGGCTCATTCTCCGAAACTAGACCAAGTAGAAGAGGGAAAATGAAAATGCTGTGTCCTCTCCAGATACAGCTTCCTTGAATAACAGGGCATAAGATTTAGCCAGAACATGAAGGGATCCCAGGCCAATGAAGAGGAAATGAAATCATGTTCAGGGTGTATAACTTTCAAGTGCTTTTCTCTGCAAGACATCACCTGGGTTAGCAGCTTTTACATCTGATATTTCATCACATTTGGCCTTTACTATGGAATCTTCGGGACCATGTTGCTCATATATTTGGTCAAGTAAGAATACTATTTTATTCCAGTAATCCAGAAGATCCTCATCCTTTCCCTATCAGAGCTATTTGTCATTAGCTTTAAGAGAGATTAGATTATGACATCATGCCCCATTTCTTGCAGCTGGGGTGTTTTTAAGCAAATGTGAAAAAAAAAAGTTGAAATAGTTGAATAAGACGAGCTCTTTGCAAAAAAAATTTGCCCAATCTCCATTTTTTACCCACTTCCTGGATTCCTAATTGAAGCATTTCAGTTGAACCCTAAGTCCTTAAAATTGTAATCTAGGTAGACATAGTAATCCCTACCAAAGAATGACAGGGAAGGATTTTTTTTTAAGTTCTTTTATGACTAGAGGTTTTCCCAAAGCAAAACGACTTCCAACGCATTTTTGCTTGAATAGTCCTCTCCAGTTTTCCAATGTAATCTTCCCTCATTCTGTTGCCACGTTATTCTAAGTCCTAAATAATTATAAGAATAATTGTAGCTACTATGCATCAGACACTTTGTTAAAGGCTTTACGTGCATTATCTTATTTGATTTAATCCTCACACAACTCTGCAGTGTAGATAGTATCATGGTCATTTTTCTGCTAAAGGAACTGAAGTTTAAGGAGATTAAATCATATGCCCAAGGGCATGTAAGAGCAAGTAAGAGCCAAGGCCAATGCCAAAACAGAACTTGAATCCACCTCTTATCTGAGGACAAAGCCTAGGCTGTCAACCAGTTTGCATATGCCCTTAAATTTCCCTAGTGGTTTTGATCTTTGCACTAGAGCTACAGAAAACTTTAGAGGCTCTGCTCCTATACATTTGGCAGTCATGTGGCTGAATGCTTAGAGTGTCATCTCTTGATATAAAGATCTTTCAAATAAGAAAAAGAAAGACCACCATTTTACTGGAAACTTTGAGTCTCTTTCATTTCCTCCAATGATCAACCAGCTCTACTAGGGGTTATGCAAGTCCAGTGCTTGCTACTGAAACACCCCAAACAGTCATCACTCCCTCCTTTTATTCCTCCAAAAGGTTTCTTGAAAGTCCTTGGATTGTATATGTTACCCAGATGAGCCACATAACAATGAGAATGAGCACAGAGGAGAACCGGGACTGGCTCACCACTCAGGTAATGATGGAGTTCCTGGGGGAGAATCTTTCAAACCACACTGACTTAGAACCAGGTCCCTCCCTTGACATGGGGATTATGGGGATTATAATTCAAGATGAGATTTGAGTAGGAACACAGGCAAACTGTATCAATGGACAATTTGATGGGAAGAGGGCTAGGAAATGGGTGCTAGTTGACTGGTTGGGGAAGAAATTATAGGGGTGTGGAAAATGTTCCCAGTCCACCTTTGGGTGGGGCCACAGGACCCATCGAGTCATGAGTCATGCATGGGTCCAAGTGGGGACAGTCTGAAAAACATCTCAAAAAATTAATCTTAGGTTCTATAATAGTGATATTATCTACAAGCACAATTGGGAAAGTCACAAATCCTGTCACCTCTGGCCACATGACTCCTGAGCAGTAAAGAATTATAGAAACTATGCCTCCAATTGTTTGACACTTGGGCTCATTTATAACTAATATAAGCTTTTTCTTTGCAGGTCTTGGCCACCTGTAATACTGAATAGTCCTTTTTCAATGACTGATTCACTGGGCACCTGAACTTCCAAATCGAGCACCAGTGAGTAACAAGAATAGTCCTTAGTAGAGCAAGTGCAGTCACTTATAACACCCCCAAATATAATCCAGATCAGGCCCTAGGCTCAAGGTCTCAGAGGGGAAAAAAAGAAAGAGCATTTTCTACAGGCTGCTATCTTTCTATTAGCAATGATGGGGAAGAAAGGAAGGAAGGAGAGAGAGAGAGAAAGAGAAAGTAAAAAAGAAAAAGAAAGAAAGAAAGAGAGAGAGAGATAGAAAGAAAGAAAAAGAAAGAAAGAAAGAAAGAAAGAAAGAAAGAAAGAAAGAAAGAAAGAAAGGAAGAAAGAAAGGAAGAAAGAAAGAAAGAAAAAAGAAAGAAAGAAAGAGAAAGAAAGATTGATTGTGAGTAACTAGAGTGAAATCTTGGAAAAGTGCCACTGATTCCATTTTCAGATACCTGCAGGCTTGAGAAGTGGGTAACCAAGTTGTGTTGAAATTTAATTTAAATGTCTATCTCTTTAGATCTGAAGTTACAAAATAATCAATGATAAAACCCATTCCCTGATGCAATATTCAAATGGTATTGGCAATACTTTACCAATGAGTCAGTTAGGTGGCCATAAAATAAAGAGAAAATGATAACACTTGGAGAGTCAATCTCCAGAATATTTAAGGGAGAGACTGTCCACATCCTCTTTACCTAAGCCATGTTTAGGATAGTCAGAGAAGGAAAGAGTTCTTATACCTGCTCATATAATTTTCTCATCCTTTCCTTCAAGTTATTCCTTAAAAACCTCAGCCAAACAAAAAAAGACTATTATTCACATTTTATCAAGAGGAAGTTAAAACCCAAGAAAGTCACCTGGGTGATTAGTGGAAAACCTTAGATAAAAACCCGTATCTCCTCACTCCTTATTCCTATCCCAGGACTTTTTCCTATATGCCATGACTAGAACTTATTGAATATTCATCTCTTCATGGGATAGGAATTAGATGGTGTTTGGGAACCTCCACCTAGTCTCTTTGCTAAAACATAACGAGAGTCACCTTTATTCCAGTTCCCAAGAAGTTCCTGATCTTCATCTGAGACCACCTCAGCCTGGACCTTATTGTCCATATCGTTATCAGCATTTTGGGCAAAGCCATTCAACAAGTCTCTAGGAAGTTCCAAACTTTCCCACATTTTCCTGCCTTATTCTGAGCCATCCAAACTGTTCCAACCTGTGCCTGTTACCCAGTTCCAAAGTCGTTTCCACATTTTGAGGTATCTTTTCAGCAACATCCCACTTCTGGTTCCAATTTACTGTATTAGTCTGTTTTCACACTGCTGATAAAGTCATACCCGAGACTGGGAAGAAAATGGGGCTTAATTGGACTTACAGTTCCAAATGGCTGGGGAGGCCTCAGAATCATGGCGAGAGGCAAAAGGCACTTCTTACATGGCAGTGGCAAGAGAAAATGAGGAAGAAGCAAAAGCAGAAACCCTTGATCAACCCATCATATCTCGTGAGACTTATTCACTATCATGAGAATAGCATGGGAAAGACTGGCCCCCATGACTCAATTACCTTCCTTTGGGTCCCTCCCACAACACGTGGGAATCTGGGAGATATAATTCAAGTTGAGATTTGGGTGGGGGCACAGCCAAACCATATCAGATGGATAGAGAGAAAGAGAGACACAAAGACAGAGACAGAGAAGGAGGACAGGGGTATCTTCAGCTCCCCTAGGTAATTCAAAGTGATAGACAATCCATACCTTCATCTGAACTGGCCAAATATAAACATATTCGATGAAGATAACATTTATTCTGTTAGCATTTCCCAAACATTCACCACCCACCTGGCTTGCAGAGGTGTTAAGAGACAAGCGTATTTTGGAAGGAGTTTTTGAACTTCCCAGAACAGCAGTATTGTGCAAGGTCAAGGTTGGGTCTGCATTGCTGATATAGTTTTATTTGGTAACAGAAGGAAGAAAACTCAAAGTTTTTCTTTAGGTCTAAATTTTATATCTCTTGTGTGTTTCTCCAGTCTGTTCCCCACAATGCCACGCCATAATTATCACAAAGTGGCGCCTCTGGTGAGGTCACTGTGTGCCAAGCACGGATTGCACTATGTGAATAAACCCATGTTGAGGGCATTTGGAGATATTGTCAGGTAATAACATAATTTCTCTCAGCTCACAGCTCTCATTTGTATTTACTGCCACTCCCCAGACTATTCAGTGGCTTGTGAATCATTCATATAACAACCATTTATTAAGGGTCACCTGTGTGCTCAGCATGGATACATGGCACCATAGGGAACCGTATCAACAACAACAAAATAATAATAATACTGACCTTTTACCTATAGGTACAGCTTAGCGAAAATGCTTTACTGTCCTACTAAATTTCAAATTTCTTAAAGTCAAGGCTGTATATTATTTGCCTTTTTATCCCCCACAGAGCTTCCTACAAATGTTAGAATTTAAGTAGTGGGAGACACTGTCAGATCATCTGGTCCAGTGTTGCAAATTTAGATGCCTGCAGGGTTCAGTGGGGTATAAATGTGCAGCTCAGGCTGGGGTGATTAATTAAGAGTAGTGAGGCATGCAGAAACTGAAAATCCATACTCATCCTTAGGCATTCATATACAATTTCCTAAAGAATGTTGTGCTGGTTAAATTAACAACCAGTAACCTGGGTTTAATAAATTTCTCTTTAGTTTAGGGTTGAAAAAAAACAATCTTAAATGAGACCAACAAGGCCAGGCCTGATCTGATC
Source organism: Homo sapiens (assembly GCF_000001405.40). Lineage (NCBI taxonomy): Eukaryota > Metazoa > Chordata > Mammalia > Primates > Hominidae > Homo > Homo sapiens. Next base: position 56,927,072 of record NC_000011.10, read on the forward strand.
TGATCTGATCCCTAACCAGTGCTCCAGCTCCAGACTCTCTACCACACTCCTCCTCTTTCTCTATCCTCCAGATAATTTCCTCCAGAAATTAATGCAATTAGCCTACCTTAAGTTGCTGTGAAACTCCCTTCCCTAGTTGTCTTATTCTTTTGCCACTTTTTCTTCTGCCTGGAATGTTCCTCCAAACCTCCACCTCCCCTGACATCATCTTGTCAATTGCCATTCTTTCTCCAAGGCTCAACTCAAATGCCTTTTCCTCATGTCTATCTCCTCTGACCCCTAAAACTAAATTAGTCACATGCTCTTGCAGCACCTGCTTCTCTTCATTTGTGAAGTTTATCACAATTGTATTCAGATAACATATTGGGTAATAAATTATTTAATATGTGTCTCCCAAGCTAGACCTGGAATTTCATGTGGACAGGACTCACATCCACCCTACTCATTGTTGTCCCACCAGAGCCTAGAAAAATGTCCTCCATATTATAAAATAGGGTTGACAGGTAAATATAGGATGGGTGGATTTACAGATATATAGGCTCAGAAAAGAATAAAATGAAAGAAAATCTCAATGTTCTCCATAAAGAAAAGGTGAATTCACCTGCTAAAAACAATTTAGTCAACAGAATTGATCAACAGAGGATGACATTTATCAGATATAGCTGGAAATGACATTGTTCTGAACCAGGCAGAGGAGCAAATTCCATGTAGGAGCTTTCTTAACATTACAGTCTCACCTCCTGATGATCTTGTTTATTCCTTTCACAGAGCCTTGAAGAAATCTGCTGCCCTCTGGGCGGATGCTTACTATGAAACATGATGCCGAATGTCAGCCTTGACACACATGTAATTGCATCTCTGATGAGGGTTGGTGCATGTGCAGGAGCTCTTCCCTGCTTAACTGGGAATTAGTTATCACCACTGGTATACCTGACTGTGCTGTTCTAGGAATATGAATCCCAAGCACATGTGATAACCCCTTCTCTGAAAGTCTTCTCTGCAAATAAGAACCTAGGAAACACAAGATGACATTGACCAGGGTGACAAAAGGGAAATGGAGCCCAATATTTTTGTTTTTTCATTAGTACCTTAAACTCAGTCCTCCCAATAGACTTTAGTCAGATCATCTCAGTCAAGGGCCAGAAGTACAAGAACCAGGCAAAAGTTTTATGGATGAAGTGGACATAGGGAGAAGTCAGCCAAAAGAGAGCCATCTAACAGGGTACTTTGGAAATTAGTGCAATTGCTCTTAGAAAAGAATCATATGTTTAAGAATTTCCTGTTGAAGCACAAACGCTTTTTACTTATTTCTTTTCAGATGTGTGAACTTCTTTTTCTTTAAAAAACTGAGTATAATTAACAATAAAATTTCTTAAAATATTTCAAAATTGACTTCAGATCTTCATTATTGTAACTGCACATGTGTCATTAATGCATATACACATTTTCTTTCCAAGTGGAAAAAATAAAAAGTCTATGAAATATCTTAAAAGAACTTCCTACATCTAGTCCTAATAGCAACAGATCAAGCAGGTTAATGTTCTGTATTTAAAGATGTGTTGTGTTTCACTAAAGAATAGACTGCGTTTTAAGTATAAGATTTTGTTGCCTACTCCCTACCCACCATGCAGAACTACTGTACCTTGTAATTGAGTTACCCTGATGAAAGAAAGAGTTTTGTTTTCTCTGATGGAAACCCCAGGCATTGACAAGGCAGTTTTCAAGTTTGACACCAAGGTAAGCATGTCTTAGAACAAGAGGGCTTTCTCTCTCACAAGAGAGTTTTAGTGCTAGAAGGATAAGTGGATACTCTTAGTAACATACTGATCTCTAGTGTCTATACTTTTATTCAAGGTTACCTTAGCTGCAGAAAGCACAATAGTGCAAGCTTGCTTCCCCAGCTCCAAGCAAATCGGCGCTACTGGATTATCTGTTGCCTGAAATTCTACCAGTATATATTCATTCCCTTACTTCAAGCTCTGCAAAATACTCTTTTAGCTTTGTTTGTTTCTCAATTAAACCCCTACTGGAAAATAACACATTAAATCACTCATAGCTCCTGGGGACTTAGCCACACATGTCAAAGTTAAGAAAACAAAAACTGGTTGTCTGGGAGGAAGTGGCATTATTAAAATGATAATGGCTAATATCAAATAGGAAAGTTGGGGAGGAGATGAAAAGAATAAAAAGCTATTTTGACTTCAAGACTCTTCATAATAGGCAGGCAAGTGCCCATTTTCCTCCTGCTGGTGGATTCTAGATGATTTCTCCTGCCTCAATTCAGGGTTACAAGTGGGAGCGGGCTCAATGGTTCGCTTTTTCTGTCTCCCTTGGTCCAAACCAGAGACTTTCAAGCACTGCTTGTTCTCCTGATTACTTAGAAATAGCAACCCGACTCTCCTTAGGCAAATTTACTATCTCAAACGTGTTCCCCACTCAGTGTTATAAATAGCCCACCTTGTAAATCTCCAAACAGACTTGGTTACTGTGTAATCTGAAGAAAGTTGGGAGATTTAGACAGATTATATAAGGAAACATGAAATCAATTCAAAAAAGGTGCTTGGGCCAGGCTCACATCTGTAATCTCAACACTTGGGAGGCCAAGGCAGGAGGATCTCTTGAGCCCAGGAGTTCAATACCAGCCTGGGCAACATAGAGATTTTTTGAGCAACTAGAGTTTTGTTTTTTTTAGAGATTCTGTCTCTAAAATAAATAAATAAATACATAAAATTCATAATTCAAAAAAGATGCTAGACCATCCGATTCTGGGCTCTTCTTTGCTGGGAGGTTTTTGATTACTGCTTCACTCTCCTTAATCATTATTGACCTGTTCAGATTTTCTTTCTTCATGATTCAGTCTTGGTAGGTTGTATGTTTCTAGAAATTTATCCATATATTCTAGGTTACTCAATTCGCTTGTGCATAGTTGTTCACAGTAGGCTCTTATGATCCTTTGTATTTCTATGGTTTACAAAAATGTGCAAACTAAACAATGTGCTGTTTAAGGATTCATAAATATGTAGTAACATGATAAAGAGAAGCAAGAGAATAGTAGACACAAAAATGAGGATCATAGTGGGGGAAAGGTGCTAGGTAAGAATGAAAATGTATAAGTGAGGTAAATTTTAATTTGCTTAGTAGGCTGTTAGTTAATGAAAATGATCATTTTTCTGAACTCACTATCTCAAGTGATGTCTCTCTCTCACCCTGTGGTGACTGGCATTTGCATTTGGTGAGGCATTAGCCATATTTTTATTGCTTGTTCAATATACTTTCCAGAGGAGGAGAACCAAAGCCTACTGCTTTCACAGCTTTGAATACCACTGAGCACTGAGTTAAATTCAGATGACTGATCCTGCAGGTCATTTTATTTCTAACCTTCAGGCTATAGGGCTCTGCTTTATGGGCATAGAAATGAAAGTGGCTTCATCAACCAGGCTCATGTCTCTTTAAACTAGATAACTCCTGGCAGTTATGTTATAGCCCTATCTGAAACTCTTCAATGGATTCCCATGACTCTTGGAATAAAGTCCAAACCCCAAGACTGCCCCATGGCCACTACCCAACCTTGTACCACTCTGGCTCTTGCTATCTCTGTTTCAGCCCACTGGATCTCTTCAAGTCTTCACACTCTTTTCTGCCACAGGCTCTTTGCTCCTGATCCCAATGGCTGAGCCATTTTGTCAACTCCCTGCCCTCACTCCATCTCACCTGGTCAATCCGCCACTCACTTTCAGATCTCAGCACTATTATCACATCTCAGCATAGCTTTATCCACAATCCCAGAGTGCTTCCTCACTAAGTCAAGCCTTCCTGTGATACACTCTGTAGCAATTACCATGGGTATAATTTTACATTAATTTATGTGGTGTGTTAATTTCTTTGTCTCCCTCTCTAGCCTGCAATATCCATGAAGCAAGGATTTCTTGACATGTTAGAGACACTCAGTAAAGATGTGCGAAATGGAGGAAGAAATGAATGGATGGATGGATGCTAATTCTAAGGGACTACAGCAAAAAAAGTCCTCCTTGGCCTCTCTCATGGAAATCCATCCTTTTGTTTAACAACTCACCAAAAGAAACTTCTCCTGCTCCTTCATTTTTTATGTCTGTACCTTAAGCTTAACTATATACCTAGAAAATCATTTAAAGTTCTCTTATTGCAAGAATTTTCTGATTCCAAAAATATGTTTATGTAATTTCTTCCAACTAGATAAATTTTATTAAATATATGAGAATAATTCCATATTCTAATTTTGAATTGTTTTAATTTTATCATGGTAAAAACACTTTTTATGAGCCGGGCATGGTGGTTCACGCCTGCAATCCCGGTACTTTGGGAGGCTGAGGGGGGCGGATCACGAGATCAGGAGATCGAGACCATCCTGGCTAACATGGTGAAACCCGTCTCTACTAAAAATACAAAAAAAGAAAAAATTAGCCAGGTGTGGTGGTGGACGCCTGTAGTCCCAGCTACTCGGAAGGCTGAGGCAGGAGAATGGCCTGAACCTGGGAGGCGGAGCTTGCAGTGAGCCGAGGTCGCACCACTGCACTCTGGCCTGGGAGACAGAGCCAGACTCCGTCTCAAAAAAAAAAAAAAAAAAAAAAAAACATTTATTATGACATCTATCCTATTAACATTTTTAAGTGTACAATACAGTATTGTTTTCTATAAGCACAATATTGTGAAGTCTATCTCTAGAACTTATTTATCTTGCATAACTGAAATTTTATACCTGTTGATTGGTACTTCCCATTTTCCCCTTCCTCCAGTCCCTGGCAACCATCATTCTATTTTTTGTTTCTATGCCGAAGGAGTTTGACTATTTTAGATAACTCATGTAAATAGAGTCCTAGAGTATTTGTTCTTCTGTGACTGGCTTATTTCACTTAGCATCATGTCTTTAAGTTTAATTTATGTTGTTGCTATTACAGGATTTCCTCTTTCTTAAGACTGAATAATATTCCATTGTATGTATACACCACATCTTTAATTCATTTACCCATTGATGGACATTTAGATTCTTTCCTCATTGTGGCTATTGTGAATGATGTTGCAATGAACATCAGAATGCTAATATATCTTTGAGATTCTGATTTCAATTTTTTTGATAAATATCCAGAAGTAGGATTGCTAGATAAAATTATTTAATTATAAGGATCTACCATCAATAAGTACTGATATATGCCCTTTATGGGCATTATTGCATTTAATCCTCAAAACAGGCCCATTGGGCATAGGTGCTATAATTAACCTCATTTTTTAGATATAAAACCTGAGGCTTAGGGAGGCCAAGCAATTTGCCTGATGTTGCAGGTAGAAATTGGTGGAGTGGAGTTTCAGACCCAGGAATCTCTAACTCCACAGTCAATGCTCTTTAATTCCCATGCCAGGAAATCCAAAGTAAAAGGAAGTAGCATAAATTCCAGCCAGGGAAAATTCATCTTCTTTACAGCTATCTTCAAATGGCTTTCCCTGATCCGATTTTCTCTAAAGCTTTACTCTTCTTGGAAGAATTAGGTAGGAAGAATTTGTCTGCATTTTTAGTTGGACATCAAGTAAGAGTGCCTGGATTAGAAGTCAGAAATCTAGACTCTAATTTCATTTTATTAACTTAGTATCCTACAGTGAACTTGGCCATGTCACTTCCACGCTTCATACCTCAATCCCCACATTTGTATAGGTGCGATGCATAATATTTCCTGGCCTATGTGCATCATAGGATGATTGTGACAATTACATGAAGTAAGACAAATGCAATGGTTTTATAAGCTGGCAACACCAATTCACATTCTAGTTACTGATATTCTTGTAATGAGGGTTCTTCCCATCCTAGATCCACAAAAAGCATGAAAGGCCACAGAGTCACCGAGACCTACAGGATGGAAAGACACTGAATCATTTTAACAATGACAGGGTACCTTTCCCCAGAGGCTTATGAGAGGCGTATGACTCACAAGTGAAAAAATGATTTCTCTTGTTGCAACAAGTAACATCGGTGAGTCATCTTCCACCTCTGACTGTAATTAATCCCCTGGTACCAGCCTGCAGATATCAGAGGCTGTGGGGCAGGTAGCAGGAAGCCAAGATTCTAGTTATCCAAACTTCTGATTAACCATGTGAGTGCAAAATTCTTATTGTTGGAAATCTTACCAATGGCATATAATATAATATTTGTTGCCTAGTCAGTGTAAATAAAGGAAGGTTTTATCTGCTTTCTTGCTAGTCAGAGACACTTCTGGCACAATCCTAAAAGTGCAGAATGCATAGGAAATTAAACTTGAGCTCTATTGAAGGCAGGGATATACTCAGTTATATTTTCTTTCCCAGAACTGTTTATGAAAGTTTGAAAATACAGCAATGTTGAAATAATTTTATAGTGAATATCTATATGGCCATCACTTGATTTCAACATTACTATTTCAGTAAATTTCCTCCATCCCGTGTCTATTCATCTACCCATCTCTCAATATATCCATTAATCCACTTTATTTTTATGCACTTCAAGTAAATTTCCTGAGGGTACTTTTAAAACTAAACATCAAATAATTTAGACAACAAAGTATCTTTTTCCTCTTCAATAAAGAATTGATACAAATTCAGAACACTAACAGGAAAATTCTAGACTTAAGCTTGACACTTGACCAACTGGACCTCATAACCATCTACGGAATATTCCACCCAGCAACCACAGAATCACGCAATATATCTTTATAACAAACTGTACATGTACCCCAGAATCTAAAATAGAAGTTGAAAAACAAAGTGGCAAAAATTGTGTAGCAGCCGCATCTCTAAGAAAACATAATGTAGTTATCATTTCTGAAAAATCAATTATTAACTCCCCACAGAATAGACCTTCTCATATATAGAGAGCTATCATATATAGATATATGTAGATATCTATATATATTCTCATATATACTTATCTCTCATATCAGAGACATATCTAGAGAGAAATATCTATGTATCTATCTAGAGATATATAAATAGAAAAATAGATGTCTATATATAAAAATATATATAGATATATAGATATAACAGAGAGATATATGAGATATATATATATAACTTCATGATCCTTCATATATATCTTTATTATTCTCTTTCATTTGCAACATTAATTGAGCACTTACCATTTATCAGGCATTGACCTAGGTGATGTGAATGAAGAGTCAGAAGCCCTACCTCTAGGAGTTTATATTCTAGTGCAGAAGGCAGTCAATAAACAAGTAAATGGAAGAAAAAACAAGATGATTACATTTAAAGAAAATAAATAGGATGAGGTGAGAGAGAATGATAAGCAGGGGACTAGATTAGTTCAGGGGGTCAGGCAGAAGGGAATCTGAGAATATTGAAGGAGCCTGCCATGACATCCTGAGAAGCAGAATCATCAAAGGCAAGTGCAAAGGCCCTGAGGCAGGAGCAAATTTCTGTTCGGACAGCAGAGTAGGAGGCCTATGTGACTGTAGAACTGTTTGCAAGGTGGTTTCCTCACTATCACTTAAATTTCATTCCTCCATAAGTATGGTTGGCCTTGGCTTTTTGACAGCATTCGAAATAATTTCCTATTACTTATATAAGCATAGTTTTCTCTGGACACTCATCCCAGATTTAAATTACCAGGTTAATATTCCCTTTATAAGCTTTTGTGCCCTGTGCACCTCACTGATACAAATGATCTCTGCCTGTGCCACTCACAAGACTGAAAACTCCATGAGAGCAGTGATTCTGTATGCTGTTATTCACCATTTCATCCCTAGCAATGTATCCCTAGCAATCAAATCCTTAGCATTTTATCCTAACAATGGACTGGGGTCCACTGTTTGGCATAGAGACATAGAGTGGATGTTCAATAAATATTTTAGTAATGATTAGTTTGTTAGTTAATTAGAGCAATGATAGATAAGCCTAGAAAGTTAAACTGAGCTCGTATTGGGAAAAAAAATCTAAAATTCTAGCTGAAAAGTTTGTGCTTGGTTTAGTAGACCAGATGGGTCCATAGAGAAGAATGCAAAGAAACCTGACATGAGATCCTGATGGGCAAGATCATGAGAGGCAAGTGCAAAGGCCTGTGAGCTAAGGAGTAGTTTAATTGGAATTGAGCTCTGGAAAAACCTAACTTAAAACCACACAAAGGAAAGACTGGAAGAGTGAATAGCGTGGAGGTGGAGAGATCAATGAAGTTCCTATTGTGAAACCTGGGTGAGAGATAATGAGTTTGGCTGATAATAAAAATATGCAATGTAAGGGAATACACAGAGACACATTGTGGATACTGGATCCATAGAATATGGTAAGTAATTAAACATTCAGGGGAACCCAAAGACACCCCAAAGTTTGGATTGTAGGTGGCAGCAAAGTAGAGGATGAAGAAAACTAGAATGTGAAGCAAAAGCGAAGGGCTGCTTTTAAGCACCTTGAGTTTATGGTATGAAAAGAAAACCTAAATGAAGATGTCTAGCAGATAATTGGAAAAAATGTCCTTCTGGATTTTTTTTTTTTATACTTTAGGTTTTAGGGTACATGTGCACAATGTGCAGGTTAGTTACATATGTATACATGTGCCATGCTGGTGTGCTGCACCCATTAACTCTTCATTTAGCATTAGATATATCTCCTAATGCTATCCCTCCCCACTCCCCCCACCCCACAACAGTCCCCAGAGTGTGATGTTCCCCTTCCTGTGTCCATGTGTTCTCATTGTTCAATTCCCACCTATGAGTGAGAACATGCGGTGTTTGGTTTTTTGTCCTTGCGATAGTTTACTGAGAACGATGATTTCCAATTTCATCCATGTCCCTATAAAGGACATGAACTAATCATTTTTTATGGCTGCATAGTATACCATGGTGTATATGTGCCACAATTTCTTAATCCAGTCTATCATTGTTGGACATTTGGGTTGGTTCCAAGTCTTTGCTATTGTGAATAGTGCCACAATAAACATACGTGTGCATGTGTCTTTATAGCAGCATGATTTATAGTCCTTTGAGTATATACCCAGTAATGGGATGGCTGGGTCAAATGGTATTTCTAGTTCTAGATCCCTGAGGATCTTAAAAGGAAAATAAGGACAAAAGATACCAACTTGAGCATACTCCCCGAAGAGTTAACTGAGGAAAATAGTAGAGAAAGAGACTTGATTTGACAGAGAATCTTAAAGCTGTTTTCACTGCAGAAGAGAGATAAGAAAGCAGGACCAGTAGTGATAAAAAAGGATTAACCGAGACCTAGCAGGAAACATAAGACAGTGTATGATGCAGAAGGTGGGAGAGGAGAAAGTTTAGAGGTATGGCTAATAAGCAAAGACACATCCTGAGAGAAGGCATTATAGATGCAAGCCCATTTAATTTCATGTTTGACCAACTTTGCTCAGTTTGAAAAAATTGAGTTGGGTTTATACCAAGCAGGAACTAAACATCCAGACTGACGAATGTATAGTGGATATGTTGCTACTATATCCTAAAAGGATTATTTTGCTAATGTTTGAAAGCTTCTCATCATTTTAAAAAACACAGAGAGAGATCTTAATTTGCACACTGCAAAAAACAAGTTTTATGAAATAGCACAAACATAAAATTGTAAAGTTTATGTGAAACATTAAGGGTAAATGGAATAGGATCCCCTTCTCCCTGATGACCACCTGGAAACAATGGCTGTCCCAGACCCCTCTTGACTCAACTGAGAGAGGAGGGGATCAATATTTCAGTAAATTAGGGTCTCCCAGGATGCAGGTTGGAAAGTTCTGGTCTATACCACTGAAAGGGCACATGTCCAGATTTTCCTGCTAATCCTACAAGCACAAGATAATATTCGGCCAGTTAACCTGCATCAGTTGTTAAAATACTGAGATACTACCATGTCAGCCAGTAAATAGCCACTACCCTAAATCCTACAATTCCTGCCAACCTAATCCTTTTGCCAAGAGGCCCTGACCCTCATCCCAGCCTGCGACCAAATGGGTGTGGGTGGTAGTTGAAAAGCTTATTTACAAATAAAGAAATAGCTTATTTACAAAGTAAGAAGAAAGCTTATTCACAAAAGACAAATATGCTGTCCAAAACAAAATTCAAACTCTAGGCTTCAAATTAGTTGAGTCTGACTACCTCAACATGGCCTATTTTAAACCTCCCAATTAAGAAAAACAATCAAAGCCAGAATATGTCACAACATAGTGACAAAAACAATACATATGAGGCCCTTTAAATTTGCCCAAATTATTGCAAAAATCTGAATGTCCAAATTATTGCAAAAATATGAATGTAAGATAAATAAATGCATTGCCTTAAAAAGCCTCTTATGACTCAGGCTATTTTTTCTACCCTATATTCCCATATTTGTTACATTTTATGGCACTTAAAAAAACACTTATTTCTATCATTAGCTACCCTCTTTATACCGCATCTGACTCCTTCTTGCCTAGGAAAAAGGGAACTCTTGCAATTATTTTCTATTTCTATCTTCGATAAAGATAATCTAGAAATAGGTGGACCTAAAAGCCTAGCCAGTGATCATTTATTTGCAAAAGGCATACCATTCATTTTGTTCAGGTGAATAACTTTATTTTTTTTTAATTTTATTATTATTATTATTTTTTATTATACTTTAAGTTTTAGGGTACATGTGCACATTGTGCAGGTTAGTTACATATGTATACATGTGCCATGCTGGTGCGCTGCACCCACTAACTCGTCATCTAGCATTAGGTATATCTCCCAATGCTATCCCTCCCCCCTCCCCCCACCCACCACCGTCCCCAGAGTGTGATATTCCCCTTCCTGTGTCCATGTGATCTCATTGTTCAATTCCCACCTATGAGTGAGAATATGCGGTGTTTGGTTTTTTGTTCTTGTGATAGTTTACTGAGAATGATGGTTTCCAATTTCATCCATGTCCCTACAAAGGACATGAACTCATCATTTTTTATGGCTGCATAGTATTCCATGGTGTATATGTGCCACATTTTCTTAATCCAGTCTATCTAAAATCAGAGCAGAATTGAAGGAAATAGAGACACAAAAAACCCTTCAAAAAATCAATGAATCCAGGAGCTGGTTTTTTGAAAGAATAACTTTAAACTACAGAAACTCAATGGGAATTCAAAGGGAGGTCATGAAAGCTTTGAGTCAAGAAAAGAAATTGTTTGCAGAAAAGCTTTAGTACACAGGTTGTACATCGCATCCTAATGGTGTGAATGCAATAAAGAAAACAATTTGTGGTCATTTTTATAACCTACCACACCATGGTAGATTTCTACTCAGAGTAAATTGTTTTTCAACTGACACCCAGATCAGGATATAATTCATTCTACCATAGCTGTGTAAACGAAAACCACTTAAATGAAATCTCTGTTAAGAGAAGGATGACTTTTCCGCTCATTATTGTATTCCCAGTATCTGTTAATTGTCAGGAATTTAATAGGTGGTAATTAAAATAGCTGTTTAATTAGTGAACAAGGTCTGCACATGGAAAATTCGAATGTTATCTACTAATTACAAAACTTACTAGCTACATTTCATTACAGCAAACTGTTTAGCAGTCCATGTTTTATAAAGACTTCCTAGGTCCAGTAATTGTATCCAAAACATTACAACAGAAGCTCAAATCTCCAACCAAAACTTGAAGTCAACGATTAGCAAAGATGGCTAATTTTATTTATTTTATTTTATTTTATTTATTGTATTTTATTTTTTGAGATGGAGCCTTGCCCTGTCACCCAGGCAGGAGCGCAATGGCCCGACCTCGGCTCACTGCAACCTCTGCCTCACGGGTTCAAGCGATTCTTCAGCCTCAGCCTCCCAAGTAGCTGGAATTACAGGCATGCACCACCCCATCTGCCTAATTTTTGTATTTTCAGTAGAGACAGGGTTTCAACATGTTGGCCAGGCTGGTCTTGAACTCCTGACCTCAGGAGATCTGCCCACCTTGTCCTCCCAAAATACTGGGATTACAGGCAGGAGCCACCACGCCCAGCCTCAGCTAACTTTATTTTTTTTCTATTATACTTTAAGTTCTAGGGTACATGTGCACAATGTGCAGGTTTGTTACATAAGTACACATGTGCCATGTTGGTGTCCTGCACCCATTAACTCGTCATTTACATTAGGTATATGTCCTAATGCTTTCCCTCCCTACTTCTCCCACTCCATGACAGGCCCCGGTGTGTGATATTCCCCTTCCTGTGTCCAAGTGTTCTCATTGTTCAGTTCCCACCTATGAGTAAGAACATGCGGTGTTTGGTTTTTTGTTCTTGCGATAGTTTGCTGAGAATGATGGTTTCCAGCTTCATCTATTTCCCTACAAAGGACATGAACTCATCATTTTTTATGGCTGCATGGTATTCCATAGTGTGTATGTGACACATTTTCTTAATCCAGTCTATCATTGTTGGACATTTGGGTTGGTTCCAAGTCTTTGCTATTGTGAATAGTGTCACAATAAACATACGTGTGCATGTGTCTTTATAGCAGCATGATTTATAGTCCTTTGGGTATATACCCAGTAATGGGATGGCTGAGTCAAATGGTATTTCTAGTTCTAGATCCCTGAGGAATCGCCACACTGACTTCCACAATGGTTGAACTAATTTACAGTCCCACCAACAGTGTAAAAGTGTTCCTATTTCTCCACAGTCTCTCCAGCACCTGTTGTTTCCTGACTTTTTAATGATTGCCATTCTAAGTGGTGTGAGATGGTATCTCACTGTGGTTTTGACTTGCATTTCTCTGATGGCCAGTGATGGTGAGCATTTTTTCATGTGTTTTTTGGCTGCATAAATGTCTTCTTTTGAGAAGTGTCTGTTCATGTCCTTTGCCCACTTTTTGATGGGGTTGTTTGTTTTTTTCTTGTAAATTTGTTTGAGTTCATTGCAGATTCTGGATATTAGCCCTTTGTCAGATGAGTATGTTGCAAAAATTTTCTCCCATTCTGTAGGTTGCGTGTTCACTCTGATGGTAGTTTCTTTTGCTGTGCAGAAGCTCTTTAGTTTAATTAGATCCCATTTGTCAATTTTGGCTTTTGTTGCCATTGCTTTTTATGTTTTCGACATGAAGTCCTTGCCCATGCCTATGTCCTGAATAGTGTTGCCTAGGTTTTCTTCTAGGGTTTTTGTGGTTTTAGGTCTAACATTTAAGTCTTTAATCCATCTTGAATTAATTTTTGTATAAGGTGTAAGGGAGGGTTCCAGTTTCAGCTTTCTACATATGGCTAGCCAGTTTTCCCAGCACCATTTATTAAATAGGGAATCCTTTCCCCATTGCTTGTTTTTCTCAGGTTTGTCAAAGATCACATAGTTGTAGATATGCGGCGTTATTTCTGAGGGCTCTGTTCTGTTCCATTGATCTATATCTCTGTTTTGGTACCAGTACCATGCTGTTTTGGTTACTGTAGCCTTGTAGTATAGTTTGAAGTCAGGTAGTGTGATGCCTCCAGCTTTCTTCTTTTGGCTCAGGATTGACTTGGTGATGTGGGCTCTTTTTTGGTTCTATATGAACCTTAAAGTAGTTTTTTCCAATTCTGTGAGGAAAGTCATTGGTAGCTTGATGGGGATGGCATTGAATCTGTAAATTACCTTGGGCAGTATGGACATTTTCACGATATTGATTCTTCCTACCCATGAGCATGGAATGTTCTTCCATTGGTTTGTATCCTCTTTTATTTCATTGAGCAGTGGTTTGTAGGTCTCCTTGAAGAGGTCCTTCACGTCCCTTGTAAGTTGGATTCCTAGGTATTTTATTCTCTTTGAAGCAATTGTGAATGGGAGTTCACTCATGATTTGGCTCTCTGTTTGTCTGTTGTTGGTGTATAAGAATGCTTGTGATTTTTGTACCTTGATTTTGTATCCTGAGACTTTGCTGAAGTTGCTTATCAACTTAAGGAGATTTTGGGCTGAGACAGTGGGGTTTTCTAGATATACAATCATGTCGTCTGCAAACAGGGACAATTTGACTTCCTCTTTTCCTAATTGAATACCCTTTATTTCCTTCTTCTGCCTAATTGCCCTGTGCAGAACTTCCAACACTATGTTGAATAGGAGTGGTGAGAGAGGGCATCCCTGTCTTGTGCCAGTTTTCAAAGGGAATGCTTCCAGTTTTTGCCCATTCAGTATGATATTGGCTGTGGGTTTGTCATAGATAGCTCTTATTATTTTGAGATAGGTCCCATCAATACCTAATTTATTGAGAGTTTTTAGCATGAAGGGTGGTTGAATTTTGTCAAAGGCCTTTTCTGCATCTTTTGAGATAATCATGTGGCTTTTGTCTTTGGTTCTGTTTATATGTTGGATTACATTTATTGATTTGCGTATATTGAACCAGCCTTGCATCCCAGGGATGAAGCCCACTTGGTCATGGTGGATAAGCTTTCTGATGTACTGCTGGATTCGGTTTTCCAGTATTTTATTGAGGATTTTTGCATCAATGATCATCAATGATATTGGTCTAAAATTCTCTTTTTTGGTTGTGTCTCTGCCCGGCTTTGGTATCAGGATGATGCTGGCCTCATAAAATGAATTAGGGAGGATTCCCTCTTTTTCTATTGATTGGAATCATTTCACAAGTAATGGTACCAGTTCCTTCTTGTACCTCTGGTAGAATTTGGCTGTGAATCCATCTGGTCCTGGACTCTTTTTGGTTGGTAAGCTATTGATTATTGCCACAATTTCAGATCCTGTTATTGGTCTATTCAGCGATTCAACTTCTTCCTGGTTTAGTCTTGGGAGAGTGTATGTGTCAAGGAATTTATCCATTTCTTCTAGATTTTCTAGTTTATTTGCATAGAGGTGTTTGTAGTATTCTCTGATGGTAGTTTGTATTTCTGTGGGATCGGTGGTGATATCCCCTTTATCATTTTTTATTGCATCTATTTGATTCTTCTCTCTTTTTTTCTTTATTAGTCTTTCTAGCAGTCTATTTTGTTGATCCTTTCAAAAAACCAGCTCCTGGATTTGTTAATTTTTTGAAGGGTTTTTTGTGTCTCTATTTCCTTCAGTTCTGCTCTGATTTTAGTTATTTCTTGCCTTCTGCTAGCTTTTGAATGTGTTTGCTCTTGCTTTTCTAGTTCTTTTAATTGTGATGTTAGGGTGTCAATTTTGGATCTTTCCTGCTTTCTCTTGTGGGCATTTAGTGCTATAAATTTCCCTCTACACACTGCTTTGAATGCATCCCAGAGATTCTGCTATGTTGCATCTTTATTCTCATTGGTTTCAAAGAACATGTTTATTTCTGCCTTGATTTTGTTATGTACCCAGTAGTCATTCAGGAGCAGGTTGTTCAGTTGCCATGTAGTTGAGCGGTTTTGAGTGAGATTCTTTTTTTTTTATTATACTTTAAGTTTTAGGGTACACGTGCACATTGTGCAGGTTAGTTACATATATATACATGTGCCATGCTGGTGCGCTGCACCCACTAACTCGTCATCCAGCATTAGGTATATCTCCTGATGCTATCCCTCCCCCCTCCCACCACCCCACAACAGTCCCCAGAGTGTGATATTTCCCTTCCTGTGTCCATGTGATCTCATTGTTCAATTCCCACCTATGAGTGAGAATATGCGGTGTTTGGTTTTTTGTTCTTGGCGATAGTTTACTGAGAATGATGATTTCCAATTTCATCCATGTCCCTACAAAGGACATGGACTCATCATTTTTTATGGCTGCATAGTATTCCATGGTGTATATGTGCCACATTTTCTTAATCCAGTCTATCATTGTTGGACATTTGGGTTGGTTCCAAGTCTTTGCTATTGTGAATAATGCCGCAATAAACATACGTGTGCATGTGTCTTTATAGCAGCATGATTTATAGTCCTTTGGGTATATACCTGGTAATGGGATGGCTGTGTCAAATGGTATTTCCAGTTCTAGATCCCTGAGGAGTCGCCACACTGACTTCCACAATCCTTGAACTAGTTTACAGTCCCACCAACAGTGTAAAAGTGTTCCTATTTCTCCACATCCTCTCCAGCACCTGTTGTTTCCTGACTTTTTAATGATTGCCATTCTAACTGGTGTGAGATGGTATCTCATTGTGGTTTTGATTTGCATTTCTCTGATGGCCAGTGATAATGAGCATTTTTTCATGTGTTTTTTGGCTGCATAAATGTCTTCTTTTGAGAAGTGTCTGTTCATGTCCTTTGCCCACTTTTTGATGGGGTTGTTTGTTTTTTTCTTGTAAATTTGTTTCAGTTCATTGTAGATTCTGGATATTAGCCCTTTGTCAGATGAGTAGCTTGCAAAAATTTTCTCCCATTTTGTAGGTTGCCTGTTCACTCTGATGGTAGTTTCTTTGGCTGTGCAGAAGCTCTTTAGTTTAATTAGATCCCATTTGTCAATTTTGTCTTTTGTTGCCATTGCTTTTGGTGTTTTAGACATGAAGTCCTTGCCCATGTTGAGTGAGATTCTTAATCCTGAGTTCTAGTTTGATTGCACTGTGGTCTGAGAGATAGTTTGTTATAATTTCTGTTCTTTTACATTTGCTGAGGAGAGCTTTACTTCCAAGTATGTGGTCAATTTTGGAATAGGTGTGGTGTGGTGCTGAAAAAAATGTACATTCTGTTGATTTGCGGTGGAGAGTTCTGTAGATGTCTATTAGGTCCGCTTGGTGCAGAGCTGAGTTCAATTCCTGGTTATCCTTGTTGACTTTCTCTCTCGTTGCTCTGTCTAATGTTGACAGTGGGGTGTTAAAGTCTCCCATTATTAATGTGTGGGAGTCTCACTCTCTTTGTAGGTCACTCAGGACTTACTTTATGAATCTGGGTGCTCCTGTATTGGGTGCATATATATTTAGGATACTTAGCTCTTCTTGTTGAATTGATCCCTTTACCATTAAGTAATGGCCTTCTTTGTCTCTTTTGATCTTTGTTCATTTAAAGTCTGTTTTATCAGAGACTAGATTTGCAATCCCTGCCTTTTTTTGTTTTCCATTTGCTTCGTAGATCTTCCTCCATCCTTTTATTTTGAGCCTATCTGTGTCTTTGCACGTGAGATGGGTTTCCTGAATACAGCACACTGATGGGTCTTGACTCTTTATCCAATTTGCCAGTCTGTGTCTTTTAATTGGAGCATTTAGTCCATTTACATTTGAAGTTAATATTGTTATGTGTGTATTTGATCCTATCATTATGATGTTATTTTGCTGATTAGTTGACGCAGTTTCTTCCTAGTCTCGATGGTCTTTACAATTTGGCATGTTTTTGTAGTGGCTGGTACTGGTTATTCCTTTCCATGTTTAGCGCTTCCTTCAGGAGCTCTTTTAGGGCAGTCCTGGTGGTGTCAGAATCTCTCATCATTTGCTTGTCTGTAAAGTATTTTATTTCTCCTTCATTTATGAAGCTTAGTTTATCTGGATACGAAATTCTGGGTTGAAAATTCTTTTCTTTAGGAATGTTGAATATTGGCCCCCACTCTCTTCTGGCTTGTAGAGTTTCTGCCAAGAGATCTGCTGTTAGTCTGATGGGCTTCCCTTTGTGGGTAACCCGACCTTTCTCTCTGGCTGCCCTTAACATTTTTTCCTTCATTTCAACTTTGGTGAATCTGACAATTATGTGTCTTGGTGTTGCTCTTCTCGAGGTGTATCTTTGTGGCGTGCTCTGTATTTCCTGAATCTGAATGTTGGCCTGCCTTGCTAGATTGGGGAAGTTCTCTTGGATAATATCCTGCAGAGTGTTTTCCAACTTGGTTCCATTCTCCCCGTCAGTTTCAGGTACACCAATCAGACATAGATTTGGTCTTTTCACATAGTCCCATATTTCTTGGAGGCTTTGCTCATTTCTTTTTATTCTTTTTACTCTAAACTTCCCTTCTCGCTTCATTTCATTCATTTCATCTTCCATCGCTGGTACCCTTTCTTCCAGTTGATCGCATCAGCTCCTGAGACTTCTGCATTCTTCACGTAGTTCTCGAGCCTTGGTTTTCAGCTCCATCATCTCCTTTAAGCACTTCTCTGTATTGGTTTTTCTAGTTATATATTCTTCTAAATTTTTTTCAAAGTTTTCAACTTCTTTGCCTTTGGTTTGAATGTCCTCCCATAGCTTGGAGTAATTTCATCGTCTGAAGCCTTCTTCTCTCAGCTCGTCAAAGTCATTCTCCATCCAGCTTTGTTCGGTTGCTGGTGAGGAACTGCGTTCCTTTAGAGGAGGAGAGGCGCTCTGCTTTTTAGAGTTTCCAGTTTTTCTGTTCTGTTTTTTCCCCATCTTTGTGGTTTTATCTACTTTTGGTCTTTGATGATGGTGATGTACAGATGGGTTTTTGGTGTGGATGTCCTTCCTGTTTGTTAGTTTTTCTTCTAACGGACAGGACCCTCAGCTGCAGGTCTGTTGGAGTACCCGGCCATGTGAGGTGTCAGTCTGCCCCGGCTGGGGGGTGCCTCCCAGTTAGGCTGCTCAGGGGTCAGGGGTCAGGGACCCACTTGAGGAGGCAGTCTGCCCATTCTCAGGTCTCCAGCTGCGTGCTGGGAGAATCACTGCTCTCTTCAAAGCTGTCAGACAGGGACATTTAAGTCTGCAGAGGTTACTGCTGTCTTTTTGTTTGTCTGTGCCCTGCCCCAGAGGTGGAGCCTACAGAGGCAGGCAGGCCTCCTTGAGCTGTGGTGGTCTCCACACAGTTGGAGCTTTCCGGCTGCTTTGTTTACCTAAGCAAGCCTGGGCAAGGGCAGGCGCCCCTCCCCCGGCCTCACTGCCACCTTGCAGTTTGATCTCAGACTGCTGTGCTAGCAGTCAGTGAGACTCTGTGGGCGTAGGACCCTCCAAACCAGGTGCGGGATATAATCTCCTGGTGCACCATTTTTTTAAGCCCATCGGAGAAGTGCAGTATTCGGGTGGGAGTGACCTGATTTTCCAGGTGCCGTCTGTCACCACTTTCTTTGACTAGGAAAGGGAACTCCCTGACCCCTTGCACTTCCCGAGTGAGGTGATGCCTCGCCCTGCTTTGGCTCGCACATGGTGCGCTGCACCCACTGACCTGCGCCCCTGTCTGGCACTCCCTAGTGAGATGAACCCGGTACCTCAGATGGAAATGCAGAATTCACCCATCTTCTGCATCGCTCATGCTGGGAGCTGTAGCCTGGAGCTGTTCCTATTCGGTCATCTTGGCTCCTCTCTCCTTGAGTGAGTTTCTTAATCCTGAGTTCTAGTTTGATTGCACTGTGGTCTGAGAGACAGTTTGTTATAATTTCTGTTCTTTTACATTTGCTGAGCAGTGGTTTACTTCCAACTATGTGGTCAATTTTGGAATAGGTGTGGTGTGGTGCTGAGAAAAATGTATATTCTGTTGACTTGGAGAGGAGATTTCTGTAGACATCTATTAGGTCCGCTTGGTGCAGAGCTGATTTCAATTCCTGGATATCCTTGTTAAATTTTTGTCTTGTTGATCTGTCTAATGTTGACAGTGGGGTGTTAAAGTCTCCCATTATTGTTGTGTGGGCATCTAAGTCTCTTTGTAGGTCTCTAAGGACTTGCTATATGAGTCTGGGTGCTCCTGTGTTGTGTGCACATATTTTTAGGATAGTTAACTCTTCTTGTTGAATGGATCCCTTTACCATTACGTAATGGCCTTCTTTGTATCTTTTGATCTTTGTTGGTTTAAAGTCTGTTTTATCAGAGACTAGGATTGCAACCCCTGCCTCTTTTTGTTTTCCATTTGCTTGGTAGATCTTCCTCCATCCCTTTGTTTTGAGCCTATGTGTGTCTCTCACATGAGATGGGTCTCCTGAATACAGCACACTGATGGGTCTTGACTCTTTATCCAATTTGCCAGTCTGTGTCTTATAATTAGAGCATTTAGCCCATTTACATTTAAGGTTAATATTGTTATGTGTGAATTTGATCCTGTCATTATGATGTTAGCTGGTTATTTTGCTCATTAGTTGATGCAGTTTCTTCCTAGTCTCGATGGTCTCTACAATTTGGCATGTTTTTGTAGTGGCTGGTACTGGTTATTCCTTTCCATGTTTAGTGCTTCCTTCAGGAGCTCTTTTAGGGCAGGCCTGGTGGTGACAAAATCTCTCAGCATTTGCTTGTCTGTAAAGTATTTTATTTCTCCTTCACTTATGAAGCTTAGTTTGGCTGGATATGAAATTCTGGGTCAAAAATTCTTTTCTTTAAGAATGTTCAATATTGGTCCCCACTTTCTTCTGGCTTGTAGAGTTTCTGCTGAGAGGTCAGCTGTTAGTCTGATGGGCTTCCCTTTGTGGGTAACCTGACCTTTCTCTCTGGCTGCCCTTAACATTTCTTCCTTCACTTCAACTTTGGTGAATCTGATAATTATGTGTCTTGAAGTTGCTCTTCTTGACTATCTTTGTGGCATTCTCTGTATTTCCTGAATGTGAATGTTGGCTTGCCTTGCTAGATTGGGGAAGTTCTCCTGGATAATATCCTGCAGAGTGTTTTCCAACTTGGTTCCATTCTCCTTATTACTTTCAGGTACACCAATCAGAAGTAGATTTGGTCTTTTCACATAGTCTCATATTTCTTGGAGGCTGTGTTCATTTCTTTTTATTCTTTTTTCTCTAAACTTCTCTTCTTGCTTCATTTCATTCATTTCATCTTCCATCACTGATACCCTTTCTTCCAGTTGATCGCATTGGCTACTGAGGCTTGTGCATTCGTCATGTGGTTCTCATGCCATGGTTTTCAGCTCCATCAGATCCTTTAAGGACTTCTCTGCATTGGTTATTCTAGTTAGCCATTCATCTAATCTTTTTTCAAGGTTTTTAACTTCTTTGTGATGTGTTCAAACTTCCTCCTTTAGCTCAGAGAAGTTTGATCATCTGAAGCCTTCTTCTCTCAACTCGTCAAAGTCATTCTCCATCCAGCTTTGTTCCCTTGCTGGTGAGGAGCTGCAGTCCTTTGGAGTGGGGAGAGGAGCTCTGATTTTTAGAATTTTCAGTTTTTCTGCTCTGCTTTATCCCCATCTTTGTGGTTTTATCTACCTTTGGTCTTTGATGATGGTGACATACAGATGGGGTTTTGGTGTGGATGTCCTTTCTGTTTGTTAGTTTTCCTTCTAACAGTCAGGACCCTCACCTGCAGGTCTGTTGGAGTTTGCTGGAGGTCCACTCCAGACCCTCTTTGCCTGGGTATCAGCAGCAGAGGCTGCAGAACAGCGAATATTGCTGAACAGCAAATGTTGCTGTCTGATCGTCCCTCTGGAGATTTTGTCTCAGAGGGGTACCCGGCCGTGTGAGGTGTCAGTCTGCCCCTACTGGGGGATGCCTCCCAGATAGGCTACTCGGGGGTCAGGGACCCACTGGTGGAGGCAGTCTGTCCATTCTCAGATCTCAAACTCCGTGCTGGGGTAACCACTACTCTCTTCAAAGCTGTCAGACAGGGACATTTAAGTCTGCAGAGGTTTCTGCTGTCTTTTGTTTGGCTATGCCTTTCCCCCAGAGGTGGGGTCTACAGTGGCAGGCAGGCCTCCTAGAACTGCGGTGGGTTCCACCCAGTTCGAGCTTCCTTGACACCCTGCTTCAGCTCATGCTCCATGCACTGCACCCACTGTCCTGCACCCACTGTCCAACAAGCCCTGGTGAGATGAACCCGGTACCTCATTTGGAAATGCAGACATCACCCATGTTCTGCGTCGCTCACACTGGGAGCTGTAGACTGGAGCTGCTCCTATCAGCCATCTTGGAACAGCCCACCTAGTTAGCTCTTCTTGTTGAATTGATCCCTTTACCATTATGTAATGGCCTTCTTTGTCTCTTTTCATCTTTGTTGGTTTAAAGTCTGTTTTGGCTACCTTTATTTTTAAAAAATATTAGTCTAGACTCTGATGGAAGAAATATGGCATCATACAGAGAGCATTTTTGGACAGAAATAACATGGGGAAGAGAATACCTACACAAGCTGAAAGACAAAGAATTTATTTATTAACCCATATGTGTATTCCATAGTTGTAATAAAATATAGTTGGTTGTCTACCCACTATTCATTTTCCTTTATTTCTTCCTGAAAGGACTATTATTTTGTGTGGAAGGTAATGCAGCCATATAAATAAAGTCTTTTTGTCCAAGCTTCCATTGTAGCTATGGTGGCACTTGTCTTAGTTTGCATTCCTGAGATATGGCTGTGAGTAAAGGTCATGTACTGGGGGAGAAATTGTAGTGAAGAATGAAGCTTACCTAAAGACAAATCTGACCTTTGCCCTCAGCTACTGGGAGACAATCTCTGAATCACTGGAGTGTACTGCCTAATAAGAATGTCTTTCTTTGTTTGGAGGCTTTAGCCACTGGACAATCTAACAATGTG